>NC_000002.12:91586419-91770328 GCF_000001405.40 Homo sapiens | reverse complement strand
GGAGGAAGAGGTAGACAAGGCAGCCAGTCTAAGGTTTCCTGGTTAATCCTTCAACCCAGCTTGATGGCTTTGTCACCACAACCCCAGAGCCACAAGGGTGAAACCAGAGCACAGTCCCAATCCCATTCACAGGCAGGAAACTGAAGCTTAGACAAAAGGGATTTACCGAGGTCAGCTGGCCCCAGGAAGTCTGCAGACCTGCGGGTGAGCCCGGGACCCACCCACCCCTTACCCTGCCAGCCCCCAGCCTGGAGTCGCTATCCCTGGATATGAGAATGTACAGATCTCTGGCTGCTTCCCCAGGACCATCTACACCCCTGGACTGGATGCTTACTACCCAGATGTGGAGTTGGAATCTGTCTCTCACAGTTTCCACCCTTGCGGCACAGAGTTGAGAATCAGAAAAAACACCCCTTCAGTAAGATTTAGTAACCACTACCTGCTGGAAACCTGTCGAAAGAACTATATATATCCCTATATATATAGCTGAGAGGTGGCAGGTGCCCCCTGGAATTGGGCAATGACCCCTCACACAACCGGCCCTGCCCCACCCCAATCCACAGCCACAAACAGAACCCAGGAGTGAGGCAAGCATGGCCCAAGGACACAGGGTCCCCCAACCCCATCACAGCTCTGGCTCTACTCCAGAGCTGACCCCCCACCCCCACTCAGGGCTGCCAGATCCTCCAGGGCCTGTTTGTTCATGCTGCACTCTTTCCTCTTAATTCCAAGAAGCCACGGCTCTCTCAAGAGCTTCTTCGCACAAGTCAGGTGACTCCCCCCAGCCCTCCTTTCACCCACCCACATACCTCACTCAAACTCACATAAACTCATCAGCCAAGAAACAGAGGCCCCCCCAGCCCAGACCCAGTAGGATAAAGAACCCACGGCTCTCCCCTTCTGTGGGATCCCTCTGCAGGATGCGCCCACACAAGTCTTGCCCCCTTCACCCCGAAGTGCAACTCACTCCCACTGCACGGGTATATAAACCGAGGCTCAGAGAGGAAGAGGAACTCCTCTAGAGAGCAGCAAGCATATGGCAGAGCTGAGAATGGGACTCAGGCCTCCAGACACTCATGGGAGTGCCCTGACCTGAGCTTCCCCACCTATGATGTTCACCAGCTCAGAGAGGGTGAGTGGCGCCTCTGGGTCACACAGCACTGGGGCGCAGCCAACTGCTCTCACTTCTGGGCTCACCCGATGCCCGGTCTGGTCGTCCAGCAGCACACCAAAACCAAGCTAAGATTCCCTGCTGTGACCCAGCTCCTCCTTCCCTCCCCCAGTGGCCTGGGGGAGGGGCGGGGGGGAGGGGAGGCTTTAAAGGCACAGGAACTGCTGCAGGTGGGATGTGGGCTGGCTCCTGGTCCCATCCCTGGGGCTGTGTGATCTGGGACAGGTGCAGGCTGCAGGTCTCTCTGAGCCCGGTGGGGTCTCAAACCCTGAATGAGAGACCTGAACTCTGAAAGCCTCGGTGGGGCTGAATGAGGCTGGGTTTCAGCAGGAGGCAGATTAGACCAAAGGTTCCCTGGGAGATGGGGCCACAGAGCTGGGCTGCAGCCAGATGCCCATGACAGGAGGAGCTGGAGATGTAAGCATCTGAGGCCCCACAAGGTCTGAGGAGCCTAGATCACCTCTACAACCCCAGGGCAGGGGATGCTTCTCCTAACAGGCCCTCTCCCCAACTCTCAGGGCTATAGGCTGGGCTCTAGGAGCTGTTACTCCAAGGACCCTGCTCACCTGGACCGAAGGGAGTCACATGATCCAGGAGGGTCCTTCCTCAACCCCCAGTTTCAGGGGTCTGAGCTGACAAGCTGACTGAGGACCCCAGGCAACGGAAGCAGGGGGATGAGGCCCATCCATCCATCATGCCCTCACCTGCTCTGCCCCATTCAATGAGATGAGATGGGGTGGGTGCCCCCACAGGGCTGGCAGGCCGAAGCCTCTAAGCCCTCAGATCAAGGTCCACACATGGTCTGCAGCCTGCCAGAATTGTCACTCTTAGCAAGGCTAAGAGTGGCAACACAGCACCCTCCATGGCCCATCAGGAAGGACAGGCAGAGACAACAAAGAATTGTAGGGATGTGAGAATGAGGGATGGAGAGGCCCTTAAGGCTACACTGTGTGAGAAGTTGAAAGAACTAGAGATCTTTAACAGAGAAGGGGCATACATTTCATGTATTTGAAAGGAAATGACGCAGACTTCTCTTTGGTTTTTCCATGGGCAGATCTCAAAAGGGAAATTACAGGAAAGTGAACTTTTCAACAATCAGAGCTGCCCAAAAGTGGAACTGAGGCTTGTGGAGTGAGTAGCTCTCCCTCCCTGGAAGCATTCTGGCAGAGATTGAGTGCCACCTGTGAGGGAGAGGAATAAGGGCTACACCACGGGGTCGAGGAAGGGCCAGAGGAGGAATGATTCAGTTTGGAGACAGGAAAGGCTTGTCTGGGCTGGGCTGGGAGCTAAGGAAGAAGGGGGATGCAGATGCATAAGACCAGAAAATGCCTTCTAGGTAGGAACTCTGGGTGTGGAGCTGGTGTCAGCCCAAAATTCAGGGTGCAAACTGCAAACCCAGAAGAAGATTCAGGAGCTGCCATGAATCCTGCCTTGCCACATTTTGCTAACCACAGCTGCCCTGCTCCTTGGTGAAGATGCTATCCACAGAAGCAGAGTCAAGGATGCTTCCATGAGTCTGCCATCAGCATCAGGACCCACTGCAGGTAAAATGGATGGGATTGCAGTGTGCTAGGGTGATGGTCTGTGTACCTGCACCCACACTCAGCATGCACCTTGCAGACAGTCTCTCCACACCAGCCCCACAGAGCCCCACCCACCCCCAGGCAGTCTCTGCACTAAACCCACTGGCCCAGGACAGCCGTGCCCTGCGGCCTTACCTGGCTGTTTCACAGTGACTTCTGTGCGCCCAGAAACCTCCTCTGCCAGCTTGTACCAGGCATAGTTGGGGCTCAGCAGCCACTACTCCACGTGGCAGTAGTAGCTGCCGCTGTCGCTGACCTCGGCTCTCTGGACGGTGAGGCTGAACAGGCCCCCCGACACATGCCTCTCAAACTGGAGCCTGGCTCTCAGGCCCTCCTCCTCCACGTAAGTACCGTATTCGAAGGCGGAGTTGTGGGTGGTCTTCAGGATAAGCTTGCCGTTGGCATCTGAGGGCTTGTGGACGTACCAGAGCACCGCAAAGTGGGAGTTCTGGCTGGTCTGAGACTTGACTGAGCAGTTCAGCTGAATGGGCTTGTTTTCCACCAGGGTGAGGGTCCTCTTCGATTTGCTCACCTGCAGCTTTGTCACTGCAAAGGAAAGGGGAACACAGGAATCACCACAGACTCCCAGAAACGTGGCCCATCCACCTCGAGGCTCTGAGTTAGTTTTCCTCCAGCACAGTTCCTGGGGGATTTAACACCGACTGGCTTCAGTGTGAGGAAGGCAGCACGGAGCCCAGGCCACCGCTAAATATCCTTCCCTGTCTCCTCCTTGCCATGCGCCTAGCTTAGGCCTTCACCATCTCTCCCCTATCCACTGCCTGCACAGCCCACCATCACAGGGCCTCTGAGGGTGATCCTGCTGAAATACAAATCTAGCTATATCAGGTCTCTGCTTGAAAAGTTTAATGGCTCTGAACTACCTACGGACTAGAGAGAAATAATTCCTTTTCACAGCACAAAGTCCCTTCAGGATCTGGCCTTCACCCAAGTGTCCTGACTCATCTCTCATGACTCACCCTCAGGCACCCTCCACAGGCACACGCCCCTGGTGCAGTTTCCCTGAGTGCTGGCCTTTGCCCTTGCTGTCCTCTCTGCCTGTCTCCTTCTGCCACCTCCCACCCTCACCCTTCTGTCCACGTATCCCTCATTCCCATCCCCCTGGGCTCCATACCCTTCCTCAGCACCCTCTATATATCTCTGGTCTGTGTGTCCTCACATCTCTCTCCCATATCCTAGATGGTGAGCTCCCCCAGGGCAGGGATCAAGCTCTTTCCACTCAATCAACCAGTATTTACGGAGTGCCCACTCAGTTTCCCACAGGATGCTAAGTGCTGGGGATGTCCTGAAGAGTAAGCCAGAGTCCCAGCCCTCATGGGGTGGACGGCCTAGCGGACATTCTTATCGCTGCACCCCCAGAGCCTAGCACAACACCTGGGCCAGGAAAGCATTTGATCAGTGTTTGCTGAAATAGGTGAATGAGTGGGTGAGCGAATGAGAGCACATTGGAGAAACACGGCAACAGGTAATTAGAGGATGCTGCGGGGGTGGGGAGAGGGGGCTTCCTCTAGGGGAGTGAGAGAGAAGGCTGAGAAGACAGTAAACCACGGGACAAGGCAAAGCCAACTGCAATCCTCCCTTCTCCTCACTGTCCCGCTCCAAAAACAGACAAGAGAGCAGCCTGTGGAGCGCCTCCCCAGCAGCTAATTAATGACGATGTTCACCTTGCCAGTGGCAAGAAGCCAAGGTCTAATGAAATCCATCTTAGGAAGGTGATTTGAGATCTCACCCACCCCGTCATCATTAACCTTGGCTCTGCATTCCCCCACTCACGCTTCTCCTGCTACTAAAAATGAAAAAAAAAAAAAACAAAAAAAAAAACAATTCTAAGTTCCTCTTAGGGAACTAATAGCACAAGCATTGTTCCACCTCCACCACTCTCTTCACACTTAGTTTTTCCGCCACAGGGACCAAACCACTTCCCAGCTGAGAAAGAAAGCAGGGGCAAGGTGGAGATTCCACCCAGGGACAGTAATCTAGGCCTCCTCCAACCGAGCTTGTGTGGAGGGCAGGGGCAGGGGCAGGGCAGGGATGCCTGGCCAGGCTCCAGCACTCTGCTGGTCAGACTCTTGTCTCTTTAGTCCAGCTCAACCCCAGGAACTGCATCCAGACCCAGGACCCAGCCCACTGGTCATGACCCTGGCCTGCCAGCTGGCTTAAGCTTGGTTTGGCAGCATCAAGGGTTGATTGAGTCCCATGCATCACAGAACCAAAACTTGTGAAAGCCACAGACTGCCACTTGGTCTCCCTGTAACACACAGACAAATGTTCTGAATGGATGGAAGGATTTAGCAAGCCAAGGTGTGGCAAAGTCCAATTCCCAATGCCATGACTGAGCAACACTGCGGAGCATCTCCCAGCGGTGAATCAGACATTCTCTCCAGGAAGACTTGTTGAATTCACAAACCCACAGACCTTCTCACGCCATCAAGAACACACCAGGCACCACTTAGAGAGAAATCCTGTGTGCCACGGCCCCACCCTCCCGGGTTCATCTTTTTTGTTAGCAAGTCCAATCTTCTGCCTTCTCCCTTCTTCAAATGCAGAAAGTCCTCTAGGGCACACTAGGAATCCAGGACAGGGTTTACCATTAACTCCCAAGCTCTGGAAGCTAGATTTGCATTCGCTTGCCAGCCGACTTTTCAGATTGGATTCCTATAATACTTGAAACAACCGGCTCCCTTTTCATTCTTTTCCAACCCAATTCACCGCATGCAAATGATATCTATATCAGTGCAAATGACACCACCTGAATTATCTGGTTCTTGGCCAAAAAAAACTGGATTGTTCAGCATGGAGTAGAAAGAGCTTTAAAATGTATTATTAATTGGGGCCGGATTATTTTTGCAACTGTTACTAAGGAAACCTCAATTGCTATAGTAACTGCATATGTTAAACTGGAATCCTGTGACTAAACTTCTATTCAGTCACATGGTCTGAGAACAAGAATTCAAGGAAGAGAAATGTTCCAAAGCATTTCCATTTTTTTTTTCCTTCCCATGTCAAAATATTGTGAAGTGTTGAGAAGCTTGAAAGGGAGGCATTTTTTAAATTTGGTGCATGTCTGACAGGTGGGCAAGGGGTCAGCTCCTATTCTATGCTCTGGATTTCCTCCCACATCTCCAGGGCAGGTAGAACCTTTCCTGAGGCACAGGGGAGACTGGAATCTCCACATATAATTAGGGAGCCCTCCCATGTCCTGCCAGAGCCCTGCCCTGGGCGGTGTACAGCTTGCGTGCACCACCTTCCTCCACAGAGCTAGGAGAGCCCTGCCCACTTAGAGACCACAGGTGTTTTCATCTGCAAAATAAGAACAATGTCTCTATCTCCATTAGGAGTTTTGTGCAGACTAAAAGCAATTGTCTATAAAAATAGTTTAGCACAGAACCTGGTATATAACAAACACCCAGTGAATTTTAGCTATTCTCATTCCTTTTTGGTTTCTGTGCCTTGTCCCAAGTTCAAAGTTCAACACTTAGATTGGGAGTTGTCAAGCATAAGTGGCAATCTTCCTGCTCAAAATGCTGTTCTCAGACCAGCAGCACTGGGAGCTTGTTAGAAATGCAGACTCTCAGGCCCCACCCCAGACCCAGTAAGTCAGAATCTGCACTTTAACAAGATCCCCAGGTGATTCACTAGTAGCTTCAAGCCTGAGAAACCCTGGACTTGGCCGTGTGAGTGAACAGGCTTTGAGAGGCCATAAATGCAGACGTGAAAGAAAAGAGTGAGGCTTGGTTAACCCCCAACAGTGAATTGGCAGGAGGAAGAAAGAATCCAGCAAGAGACAGGAAGAGGGTCCGAGAGCTGCTCCAGCTCACGCCAGCAGCTGCCTTCACAGCAGCCCCCAGGGGCCAGGCCCTGCTTTGAGGGAGTGGCCCTTTCTTTCTGCAGCTGGAGAGTTTCCTTCCCAGGCTTGTGATTAAAACTTGGAAGATCTGTGTTTTGTATGGTAGGAGAGGCTGTTGCGTTTGTTACAAGCCAGGATAGGGTGGTTTCAAGGTGAGACATCAGGAAGAGGGAAGAACTCCACAGCGGAGACCAGCAGCAGCTTTCTCAGCCAGCCTACCCTCCCTTCAGATTCCACTCTGTGTGTGCTCTTCTCACTCAAAACTCATTTATTTCTTCAATAAAGGATTTCCTTACACTCCACTATAGCTGTTACTGCTGCCTTACAACGAAGGTAATTTTTAAAGTCTTCTCTTTCTTACAAAATTCTAAGCATATGCAGGGCAGGGACTCTGACCCAATCATTGTTAAACTAATCAATGAATGGTTGAATAAATGTGGTTACTTTTTAAAAGGAGGGGCAATTCTGATTTTGATAGAAAAGAGAACATTTCAAAAGGTATGTGACCTCTGAGCTAGGCCCTGAGAAACAAGTGGAGAAGGAGAGTGAAAGGGCACGCCAGAGAGAGGGGACAAGTGAAGAAAGATGACAACTACCCTGTGCACTCTATTCAAGGAGGAGCAAGTGCTCAGGTGTAGTGGATGAGGTTAGAAAGGTAAGCTTCGGCCACTCTAAAAGGGGCCTGCAGCTTGTACTTGATCCTGACCACCTGTGGCCCTCAGGGTGCATGCCATGGATCTGCAGATCAGCATCACCTGGGAATTTGCCAGCCCCTGCTAAGTCAGAAAAACTGCGAGTAAGGCTCAGCAACCTGCAGGCTCACGAGCCCTCCAGTTGATTCTGGTGCACATTCAAGTTTGAGTAGCAACAGCTGTGCTGCTGAGGTGGTTGCTGGTAAGTCTGGAGAAAGCGGTTTCTGTGCAGTGGTGTGAGCAGCAGCCAGAGTGGCAGGTGCAAAGAGATGGGCACTGAGGGAGGAAGACACTGCTCTTTATTAAAGACAACAGACATTAATGCTAGAGATAGAGGCGGCCAGTGGCTGCGGCAGGAGAAATGTTTCAAGTGGAGAGAAGCAAGTCAGATGAGAGACAAGGAAAGAATGCAGGGTGAGCTGCATGGGAAGCCAGTGGCACAGGCGCCTGCCACTCAAACTGTTACTACCCCTGAGTCCCTCTGTCCTTAACACCCCTTGGCTCCCTGCTCTCTCCACATGACCATTCCCTATTTGGGCCCTCAATGATCTCTTTCTCAGGCTCTTATAATTGGCCTGCATATGACACTCCCTCCCTCTCGGCCTAGCCACAGCCAGGGGATTTCCCTAAATGGCAAATGGGGCATGCTACTGCCCACGGCTGCCCACCCCACAGCCCGTGACAGCAGTTCTCAATAAGGCAGCTAATTGCAAGCAGGTCTCTGGTTGCCATATTGATTTGGGGAGGGGTATATATTCAATGGAATAAAGCCATTAAAGATGTAAAATCGTATCTGGGACAACTCCATGCAACAAAACTCTGCCTCGTGTCCTGTGTGACTTTCGAATGACATTCATATGGGCAAAAATTATGCCTCTGAGCCTAGAACCTACTTTCATTTTACTATAATCACAATACTTTTATTTTGCATGGTTTTAATATATGCCAGGTCAGTCAAGAGAGGATTTTCCTTTGTTTTGTTCAGAATTGTAGCAAGAGTTACTCAGGACTTCAGAAACCCTGTCAGGATGGCAGTCCTGCTCATGGTACCAAGTCTGATACGGTGACTGTCAGTGTGCATTTAGGGACAGCGTTGACTGTGACTGTGCCTCCTAGCATAGCTGTCCTGAGCATTTACACATTGAAACACATTATTTTACTATGATCTACTTTAAAAAAAAAAACTTTCTTTATCCCACAACTAGGACAGTATAGCAAATTTTAAAGATATGATTAGGAATGTTATATTGTATATGAATTTCATTTCCGGGTAAAGGGAATATTATAAATTATTACAAAAATGGAGTATATGATCTGGGTACGGGCTAAAGTCCTAATTTCTGAGTTTAGGATATTCTTATTTATTTAGCAAACTTTCATCTGGTCCTATGTGCTCAGCACTATTCTAAGCACTTTATAAATATTAACTATTTGGTCCTCACCAATCCTATGAAATAAATATTATTCCCAATTTTATAAAGACACTTGCCCAAGGTCACACAGCTGGCTTAGTGGTAGAGCTGGGATTCAAACCCAGGCCATCTGGTCTGTCCTTGCTTTTAGCTATTACATATGCCCACCCTCACCCCATGCTCCCATGTACAAAAGGGACTTCTTGATCCCTGCCAGCTTGCCTGGGGGTGAACCCCTCCCAGACCCCATGCTTTAGTCATCTCAAGATAAGCATGCTGCTCCCACCCTCCATGACTATCTTTATTCACACTCTTCTCTGAGCCTGAAATGCTCCACTCCTCCTTCCCAACCTCCCACCCTCACCCCTACCCCATTCCCTCCTCACGCCCCCTGCCCCCTGCCCCGTGTTCATGCCCTGTGCTGGCTCTGCCTCCACACCTGTAATGCTTTTCTGCTCTCCTCTGTCCCTAGGCCTGCTGCCTCCCACAGAGCCCGCAAGGCAGGAACGTGACACACCCATCTCAGCAGCCTCACCAGCATGGCAGCCTGGCACTTAGTAGGTGCTCAATGCATGCAGAGAGACAGGGAGGGAGGGGCAAGGGGAAAGCAGCAAGAGTCTGCAGGTAGAAATAGCTAATGAAGGTTACCCAGATGCGCCCTACCCTGCCTTACCTGTCTGCAGGCAGGGCAGTTACCCTGGCTCGTTGATGCCAATAACAAGTGCCCCGGTGTTACCATGACAACAGGCCTGAGGCATCTGGGAGGGGCTGGGCTCTCCTCTTAGGGCTCTTGCACTCACGCCCATTCTATCTTGGCACAGACAACAGGCAGAAGCCACCTGGGATGGAAGAAGGAGAACCCCGCACTCCCCTGAAAGAAGGCAGAGGCCAGTCCTCTGAGGGATGGGGCAGTCATCCCTCAGAATGTGAAAGGAGAGCCAGTGTTCACATGCTCTGGACTCATGGAAGTCAAAGAAAAGCCCTCTGCTATCCCAATCTGCCAGGTCAGCAATAAGAAATAGAAGAAAACCGATTTGGCAACATCCAGAGGGTATTAAATATTCATCCTGAGTGCCCATCAGTAAAATCCCAGCAGAATACACCCTCTGACAAGTCAGCTTTCCACCACTGGAGGCTGTCCTCATGGAAACTTGTTTATGGCTTTGTCAATTTTAATAGCCAAACCAAGATATTGTCGTAAACATTTGGAAAATGAGTGCTGACATTTCCCTTACTGCTTCTGTATTTAGGTATGTGTAATTGGAGGGCGTTTTGAGCTAAAGAAAATCAGAAGGAAGCAAGGCAATTATGCTTTACAATTAAAAGAGAAAACTGATTAAGAGCTAACAATCAAATATGTGAACTGGCTGAAAGTCTTGCCTAAGCACCCCTTGAGGGGTCACACTATGTGATCAATGAGGATCAGACTAAGCTAGATCAATGGCAACATGACAGTGATGGCATTCCTTGAAGATTCTGTTGGGGATGTGCATACGCAACAGGAAGCACACACAGGGCATGGTCAAATAACAGATCCACAAGTCAACTGTGCCATCCAACCAGAGATTCTGATGAATACTGATATGGGGGCAGGATCAGCAGGGACGAGTCTGGGGCACAGACCACAGAGAAGCTTGCTGTGATAAATGATATCACAGCAGTGGAAGGCTGATGGTAAATGGACCAGCATGAGTGAGTCAACAGTCCCTGGGTTCCTATTTGATTCTGATGGAATACGAATATTTAACACAATATTCTTTAAAACGGGGGTAGCAGGGGACACTTCTATGGACGACACCAGAGCAGGGCTAAGAATCTATGTTTTGAGGGGCAAGGTATGCAGGGAGAGCAAAAGAAGAGAGGACAGCGCTGGTTCTGAGCTCTGGTATCCCCAGGTCTTAGAGCCACCTTGTGGCAGAAGCTGGAAGAATCAGGAGTTAAAAGAGGCACAAGATAAAACTTCTACACCATCAGCAAACTGTGTCTTGAGGAACCTCTACCAGTGTCTTATGACCCCAACTTCCAAAAAACAAATTTAAGGACTTGCTAAAGGGGATTAGGAAATCAGGAGTGGTTAACCAGAGAGAGGAAACATTAATTACAAGCATACGGTACCAAAGAGGATTCCTGAGAAGAAAAACACTTGTCTAGAACATATAATAATAAAATTAGGAACTTGGACTCTGGAGCCAAACTGCCTGTCTGGACTTGAATCCTGGCTCTGCCACTTACTATGGCACACTGGGCAACTTATGTAACTTCTGTGTCAGTGTCCTCATCTGTGAACTTGGGTAAAATGGTCCCCCTCACAGCACTGCATGGATTAAGAAACAAGGAACTAAGTTATTATGTGTAAAGCATTCCCAGTGGTTTACAAGAAATGTTCAGTGAATATTAGCTGCTACTGTTGTTACTACCAGTAACACTAGTGCCATAACTCCTCCACATCATCAATCTACAAGGAGAAAATTCTTCTGTAAAGGACAGCATTAACTGAATGCAGAAAGAAGAATCTCTGATTACATAGCCTTTAAAAAGGTCAAAGTCTCCCTACCACAATTACTTTTTAACAAGGCACACCTGGATTCAAATCCCAACTTTCCCCCACTCACTAGGTGTTTAATTTGAGGAACTGAGAACCTCTCAGAGCCTCTGTTACTTCATTTATAAAATGGGAAAGCAATATGTTCCTCCCAGGGTTGCAGTGAAGATTAAGTGAGATAATATACACCAAGTGTCCAACAGTCTCCAGCGCACAGTCAGCTCTCATGTATTTTTCCACTTCTATTTCCCCAAAATGAATGCACCAGCACCAAAATATATAAGAAAGAGTAAAAACTCTTATGAAGCTCTCTGGAAAATATTAAGTGCTAAATGCATAAATATTTAATAGAGGAGAGACAGTAACACTTAAGGGGATGCACTCTCCTGGTGCCTCAGCTGCCCTCTGGGAGTCCTGCACGGCCTCAAGCACCCACCTTTGCTCTTCCTAGCCTCCAAAGGGTCATAAAAGTATATTACTGTGCACCTTTAAGTAGAGGCCTCATAACAGCCCAAGTACAGTGATACTCATAAGTCTCCTCTGCCAACCACTGTTCATTCTCATTTTACAGTGAAAACACAACAGAAACCAACTCGAGACACCCAAGACACAAAGACAACCTCAGAGCAGATCTGGGGTCTCCCAACCCTCCAGCTACTTTACCCAGGAGGCAATTATGGTATAAAGGAAAACATTTGCTCTATGGAAGTCAGAGATACCTGGGCTCCAATCTCAGTTCAAATCTCAGTTTTGCCCCTTAACCAGCTGGCTTGCCTCCATCAAGATTCCTGACCACTTTGAGCCTTGGTTTCCTCATTAGCAAAATAGGGATACAAACACCTACATTATTAGGTTGTTGGATAAATTTAAAAAAGAAAACATGAGTAAAGCACTAAGCATAAACCTGGCATCCAAGAGGTACTTCATACATATTTTTCCCTGTCTGCCTTTAGTAACACCATAAATTAATCCAAATAATTAGAACCTTCAATGAACTAATTCTGTATTCTTCCCTTAGGCACTCCAGTCTTAGATTCCAAATAGTACCAGAAACAGGCAAATACTAGGGATGGATTCAAAAAGGCAATATCAGACAAGGTCTTGAGGTCAGCATCTCCTCTACCTTCTATAGCTGCAGAACCATGTGATGGGCAATGCTGCTCAGAAAACTGACTTTGAGAGCCACAGGGGACCAAAAAAGGTGCAATTACAATCCTAATGTCCCACTCAATAACGCAGGCAAGTGGGTACCTCGACATTTTCCACAACAAGGGTTCACATAAAATGGGGTCTCTGCTTAACCTTCCATTAACCTGAAAATCCACTTAAGTAAAACAGCCTCTTCCCTGAGCCTCTTGTCAGTCAAAGTTTAGGCTCTCGTTGGCCAAGGGAACAGTCTCATCATTTATACAACTCACTTGTTCCAAATCTGGTACAGAACAGAACTCTGTTATGGGGTTAGAAGAGGTGAAGGAGAAACCCAAAGGTTACCGTTATTTAACCTCATGTTGCTGAAAACAACACTGTGGCCACCTAAAGTAGTCGGGCAGACCAGGTCAGGCCCTAACCATGGCTGTTAGTGGGCAGAAAAATCCCTTTGGCAAGGCGTTCCAGCCATCTTTGCAAAGTCAAACCCTTGCCCTTGCCTGCACAGGTGTCTGTTCTAGCCGAGGCATGGGCTGGGTGAGGGAAGGAACACAGGAGCCTACCGCCTGGGCTCCACCCTCCACCAGCTTCTAACCTGGCAGGAGACAAGGACAGATGGAGGAAAACCATAAGAGCTGCATGTACTTAACTCCTCCCGCATGTCAGCAGAAGAGCCTGACGAAGGTGAGAGTGTTTGCAGAAAGCCCCACTGACTAATGCTCCCCAAATTAATGCATCCTGATGATCCGCTTTGAGACAGACTCAGCCTCCATAGAGAAAGGAGCTCAAATTCAGGGCCCATACAACTGGACAGGGCCTGGGTGTAGGCAACATTGTGGGAGACAACCGGGGTTCAAATCCTGTCTCCACCATTCACTAGGTACATGACCTTAAGCTAGTCACTTAAATCTTTCCTGGGGTTGTTGTGCAATTCTAATAGAATAACTGACCTTCAGCACCTCATGCAAAGAAGATGCTCAATAGGTGCCTATTACCCTCCCTCTTTACTCACAATTTCCTTGTCTATGAACAGGAGACAATGATATCACTTCCACATAATTGTATGAGGATTACAGGAGATGAGGTTAAGTAAAGAAAAAGGCTTTCTTTAAAACAATTGACCTGTGCATTTCACAAATGTCCATGTCTACAGACACACACATACACACACACACACACACACACACACACGCAAACACACAGGTTAGGGAATTGTTCTAGATTAAAGGAGTCTAAAGAGACAGGATAACAAATGTGATGTGTGATCCCTGGTTGGATCCTAATCTGAAAGGGAAAAATAAAGGGCATGATTGGGACAACTGGGGAAATGTAGGTGATAGGACTACACTAACGTAAAACCCCAAGGGTGTGATAATGGTGCAGTGGGTGGGTAGGTTCTTAGGAGTTACATGCTGAAGTACTTAGGGGGAAGTGTCCCAATGTCCACAGCTTTCCCTCCAATGGCTCAACAACAACAACAAACATACACACAGAGGAAGAAAACAAATGCTGTCAGACAACAACTGGCTATCAAGGAAAGGAAATACAAGTGTCCACTGCATGATTCTTAAAACTTCCTATTGATTTGCAATGTCTCTAAATGAAGAGCTGGGAAAGGGGGAAGTGATGCTAAGGGCTCCATGCACACTTTTCTTTTTCCCTCACGTCTGCTCAGGCAGCATGGGCACATAGCCCACAGGTCCTCAGCACTCACCTGGCTGCAGCACCCTGATCACCAGCAGGTTGGAGGTCCTCTCCGCCAGTTGCGTCCAGGTGTTGTTGCAGTTCTTCCGCCACAGCTCTGCCACACACTGATACTTGCCTGCTTCCGTGTCACTGGCTCGGCTGATGCTTAGGCAGACGTTGTTGCTGGACTCAGCCTTCTCGGTGGCAGTTCGGGTTCGGAAGCTGGAGGACCTGTCCCCCCACTGGACCCCTCCATCCCGGGTGAAGGTCACCAAGTCATGGAACTCCACTGTGCCCACCGGCTAGAAATGCCATGTCACTGACACGGGGACCTGGGCAGGGTAGTGGGGTTTGATGATACACTGCAAGTCAAAGGAGTTGCTGTAGGTGACCCCCGGTGTCCGGGAGATGGCTGTGACTGCAAAGCCCATTTCTGGAGAGAGAGCAGAGAGATTCAACCAGAGGAGGCATGTGGCTTTCTCAGGGCAGTATGACATCAGCAATGGGGCAGCTGGCAAAGCAAGCAGTGTGGAGCAGAGGCTCTCGGGGCCCCTTTTGAGCTCTCAGGCTAGTGTTGCTTTTAGTATCCTGCTGAGGCCCAGTCCAAGAGTTTCCAAGACTCCAAAGAAAGGCCCACCACAATTCCCCCTGAGCAGCACTAGCCTAACCCTTCCCAATGAGATCCTCGTGCATTTGCTCCTCCCCTGGAATTAGACATCACAATCCTCTCAGGGACTGATTGCATGTAGGCAGGGTTGCTCCTAGAAATCTTGAGATTCCATGAGAAAACAGGAAAAGAAAACCCCAAAGCCAATTTCCTCCATTGCACAGGAGGAAAACACAACCACACAGCCCCAACACCTCTTTTCCTGGTCCCTTAGTGCACTGGTGCCGAGAAGGGAAGCAGATGGAGTCGGCCTCCAGTCCCTTTCTCACGTCCCTCATGAAATCCAAGAACAGAGCAGGTGGGGACCTCCAGTGGGGTGGGACAATTGTCCTAAATGCAGGGTTCTGCAGTCTCAGCGGCTGTGGGTCTCTCAATATTCCTTATTGAATGGGCAGCACTGCTAAGCTCTAATACTGACTCCTCAATATGAGTACCTCAGAGTTCCTTCAGCCTGGAAATACTGTTTAATATTCATACATTGATCACAATCATAAAGCTAACAGTAGCCAGTATTTATTGAGCACTATCTAGGTGCAAGCATGGTGCCAACTGCTTTGCTCTCATCATGCTCCACTGAATCCCCAAAACAACCTTGTAGAACAGGCAGGCTTGTCATCTCTTCCTGCAGATGTAGAAACTGATGCAGAGAGAGGTTAGATAAATTGCCCAATATCAAGCATTTGGTAAGTCAATGACAGAGTTAGTCTCCAACCACATGTAACTGATTCCAGGGGCTTTTTTAGGTTGCTTTACCCATGGAAAGCATAACACAGTGGTTAAAGGTCTAGACTCTGGAGCCAGCAGCCAAGCCTTTGACACTTCCCAGCTGAGTGACATTAAAGTTACTTAACTTCTCTCTGCCTCTGTTTTCCAATCTGTAAAATGAGTCTCTGTGAAGATTAAATAAATCAGTGTTTATAAATATTACAAATAGTACCTGGCACATGAGATATACTATATTTTGTTAAATATTTTGTTAAAAAATGAAATAGAAATTTTAAAAAAGTACTTTAAACTCTGTAATGGGAAAGACTGGCCACAGGATGAATCTTTTGGCTTTCTATGGTGAGGTTAAGTTGGCAAATAGGTAGGTACAATTTGCTGAAAACTCTGGACCTTTGATTTGGATTTCATCTCTATATACCCTTTAAAAAAGTTTATGACACGGAGGCCCATCCTTAAACATGAAGCACCTCTGACAGTCACTGTGCACCTGTGTGTAGTAGGTGTTGCATGAGGGTGGTGTAGGACAGAACCTCAGGGACAGGACCCACACCAGGTGCTCCTGGCCTCACACCTGAAGGGGAGAGAGCTTCCCCAAGCAAATGACTTTGTCTAGTCCTGACACAGGCACATGCCACAGTCACAGAGCACCCAAGCTGCTCTAACTGAACAGCCATAATGGCCCATTGTACATTTGGGACCTGCATCTAATTATACTGATATGAAAATTCATGTGTGTCATTGTTAACTTTAGACTGAAAAGACAACCTTAATTAGTCTAGAGTGCCCTCCCATTCTTCCTTGTTCAGTCCTTTGGGCCACCTGATTATGGCTGTAGCCAGAAGTATCTCAGTGGTGGAGATCAGGTGAACAGTGCTGGCCTCCAGATCCCAGGGCAGAGCCCCTCAGTGCCCCTGGCTGTGAGAACCACCAGACATACGGTGAGTAAGAAAAAACTCAGGGGATAACCTGATACCATAAATTACTTCTAGAGAAACAATCCTCACTAACTCTAATCACTCATTGGACATTCCTAACCTTCCAGGATGCTTAAAAAAAAAAAAAACACCAGTACTGGACATCCAAAATTTGTCCCCCAAGTTCCATCTGACTGGGTCCACACAGGTGCTGAGTATGGACACAGGAACTGAGCTGATCAGGAAACGCAATCACTGGAGGAAGTTTCTAAGACAGAAATCTGAGCCATATAATTACTGCAAAAAGCAGGTCAATCTTTAGGATTAAGCTTTAGAAAACAAATGTAATTCTAATCTCAGAGGGGTAAGAAAATGGAGGACTCTGTTAAGGACAAAAACCACTCGGGGCTGCCATCTTTACTGGAAGTATCCAAAAGCACCACCATCCCGACCTGCAAGGAAGGTGGTGACACAGTCCCAGGGAGTGGGACATAAAATTGCTGAGGACAACCGATGTCTCCTGATAAACAGGAAGACCTGACATAACAAGTTTCTTTCCCAGCAAAGTCACAGACTGGTCGTTTAAAATCTAATATACTGATTATATCCAAGCAGATAAATGTTGATAGAAGCCTCTTTACCCCAATGAGAAGCAAATCTAATCTTCCTTGGTTTTAGCAAATCTCAAGGTATCTTTTCATTCCATGCTAATGAGGGAATAGCTTTGTTAGGTATGGGCCCCATCAGGTAGTAGAAACTTCTAGCCTTAGGCAAAGTATTTAATGTGTCTCAGTCTCAGTTTCCTCCATAAAATGAAAGTGTCTGTCACTTGGCTAGGTGGGGATTCAATGGGACAACTAAGCTTAAGTGTTAAGGATTAGCCAGGAACATAGTAAATGCTAAATAAATGACAACAGATAATTTTATACCCTTCTCTGCTCTCTTTCAGGAAGGCTGGCCCCTGAGAAGCAGGGCAGGAAAGACATGCCACACAGTGCTCAGCCACTCTGCTCTCTTTAAGGCCAGGCTGGCAGTGGCCATGCTCCTCCACCTGGGGCCACAACTATGGCTGGGTGGCTTCACTAACCTGGATAGAGTTCTGATAACATCACTCTCTCCCAGCCAGACTAGGAGTAGTCACAGCTCCCAGCTATTGCTATCCCTCAGGAGCCCCATCATCCACTGTGGGTCCCTTAGTCCCTGCTAGCACTATCTTAATTAATTAAACCCTTATAAGAAACAAAATAGGTATAAAGGAAAGTACTTCAAACTCTATAGGTAAAAGACTGGCCATAGTTTCCTGCTAGAACTCTGACAGACAAAAGTCAGGATAAGGTGTTTGACACTGAAGCTGTCTCCATGCCAGACCCACTGCCAGTCCCACCGCTCACTCACCAAGAGCTATGATGGAGATGGGAGTGCTGGCCCGGCGCTCCCCAACAATCTGCCACTCGCCATCCACCACCCGCACCCATTCAGTCACATGGCATTCATACTGGCCCTCGTCCTCCTTCCTGCTGTTGAAGATGCCCAGGCTGAATGAGTTGGGCTGCACCTGCTCCATCTGGACGCTCCCAAAGCTGCTGCGCTCCCAGTAGGACGAGCCTGGCTGCACGGTGCCATCCCGGTCTAGCCACATGATATCGCTGCGGCGGTTCTGCCTGTCCACAAGCTGCCAGATGACAGAGAAGCGACCCTGCAGCCTTCCTGCCATGCGGACGCTGCAGGAGAAGCGCAGGTCCTCGCCCTCAAGGATGACGCTGGCATTGCTGGCCACCTCCACGGAGATGCTGCTCTCTAGGAAGAGGGAGAGAGAAACACCCTGGAGGCTTTATGGTCTCCACAGCGCCCTCCCCACAGAGGAAACAGGAGGAGGGGTGCAAATGGAATCATATTCAGGTACGGTGAGCCTCAGAGGGTCAAAAACACTCTGACCCTCGCTGATGTAAGCCCTGGCTGGTTCTGGGCATTGCTCCCTGTGGTTTTAGATCTGATAATCTAGGATGTTCTTTGCTGTGTGCAGAGAACTGTGATAACGAGGTTCTAAGACCTGAGCCTGAATAAGAACCTAAGAAATACAACATAGTGGCATGATGATTAGGGCATAAAACAATTTATTGGGTAATCTATTCAGCTGCAGTTCAGGGTTTTTCAAGTTGAATTTTCAGCAAGAAGAGTAACTCCAAAATCCTACTTCACTTCACTCTTCCTACCATTCGATACTACAGCAGTCAAATAAAAGCTGAACATCCATAATGTGCCATTTGAGTCCTTCAGGACAATTTAGGAAATACGAAAAAAAAACTGACAGTAAGTATTTGGATGATAACGTGTGCTTAAGTGTGGGTAATAAGGGAGCACAGATGGTCTAGTTTTGCAGAGTGCGTGAGGAGGAGGCTTTCATTCTTTCATTAACACACAGGAATAAAACAAAGCCAGCAGCTCGTCATCCACCACTCTCCCACCTGTCCAGTCAGCCCTGGGGCTCCTTTGTTCTCTTTCTAGAAACATTTGGCCAATCAAAAGTTTGGGATAAGGATTCCACTCCCTTCCCTGTCTCATCTAGCCTCTGCTGCTCACTTAACTATCTGAATTCACTCAATCAAATTATTTAAACTCAACATGCCTCAGCCTCTTCTTCTGTAAGACAGGTAGAGAGCCACCTTTAATTGTAGAATTCTTTAAATATTAAAAAGTAAATGAGATGATGCGTATAGATTCACCTAACACATAGTAGGTTTTCAAAAACTGGTCATCATGATCATGATTAATTTTACTATTCCACATAACTCTTTGTTTTTGTAAACATCACAGATAGCCTAATATGTTTTAATTATGCACGTAGTATTTTGTATAATTATCTATATTGAGTTCAGAAGGTCTGTAAGTATTAAAGAACACAAAGTAACTAATTTGGCTCCAATTTTTGGGTACCACCCACATTAAATACATGCAATAATTTAAACCAATTAATTAAATCAAATCCCAGATTTTAAGAGGCACACCCAATTACCAAGAGAAAACACACATATACACATAACAATGCATTTGAATCAAATCTTTTCTCTCCTTTATTTCCCCAACAAGCAGAAACAAAGACGAGCACTGAGCCTCAAAATGTAGCTCTTATTATAGTGAGGATGCCTGCTAGCCATTCTGGATGTGCTTGTTTTATGTGAAAAATAAAAGGTCTGGATGGGGCAGGGAATAGCAATTTTCCCAGGAGGGCAACCTCCCCCAGGAGTCATACCATGATGATTCATAGAGATAATCAGGCTCCTGAACAGTCACCATCTATAGCACTAATGGTTAAGGGGATGGATTTGGAGACTTCTTAACTCTGTAATCCTGTGGTTCTTCCTTAACCTACCAAAGCTCCAATTTCTCATGTGAAAAATGGAGATACTAATAGTGCCTACTTCTTAGGGCATGACATTGACAGGATTAGATGAGGTAATTATTTTTCATCATCATTAATAACAACAATATTCCTCTTTAGATTAAAGACTCATCCCCACTGTTATCAATTCAAAATAAGGGATTAAAAGGGCAACTGCAGCATCAAGGAAGAAAATCCTTTCACTTGTCTTAAGCAGGAGAATGACTTGCAGGACCTCACTCTCATCCCCTACTGTCATCCCAGTGGACGCTTATGCAAGTCCTGGCTCATTTATTGAAAGGGCTACTGTTTGGTGGTGCTCTGTTGCTTGAGCAAGCCTGGAAACCCACATAGTTAGAATGTGGGGCTACAAGAAGAAATGCTATTTTATTACAGCAGCTGAGGCAAAGGCAACTACAGACCTGGTGCCTCACTGCCCACTAACACTATTTACAAGAATTTCCAGGCCTGAGAAAAGGCAGCCGACAATTTTAAACTCTCTGGATTAAGTGAAAACTAGGACAGAACTAATAAAAATCTGAGTACACATTCGCAAATGAAATTTCAAATCAGGAAGTTGATGGTGTAGCACAGGCTAAGCGCAGGGCGGTGGGTGTGGAGTTAGAAGCAAATATTTCCTAATACAATGCAAGCTCAACCACTAACTGAACAATCAGCTCTGTCACTTCCTGTGTGGCGCTCTGATTTCTTCATTCATTAGATGGATATCATATTGGCCTCTACGAGGATTTGAGAGGTGGGAGCGGAGAAGGAGATGATATATGCAGAAGCACTTCGGTCTCTTAGGAGGAAAAGCGCCATTAAAATCCAAGGCATTATCACCATTACCGATGTGATTGTTGTTGTTCTTCGGCCGACTTACCCAAGTGGCCTTGGGACAGGATCTGGTGGTGCTGGGGGACTTTAACTACCCAGTTATCTGCTGGAAAAGCAATATAGCAGGCCACAGATCATCAAACAAGTTCTCAGAAGGGGTTGGGGGAAATCTTAGTACAAAAAATATAGGAAGTAAACAGCGTGGCTGCCCTTCACTTGATCCTTAGAAAACAATGAGGAATTAATTGCAGATTTAAAAGTAGAGAGTCCGTGGTTAAGGCAAGCACAGACTGACAGGAAAATAGTAAAGACAGTGGGCATTCAATTCAATAATTTCAGTTGTACAGTATTCAGCGAGCACCTACTCTATGCAAAGCACCATGCTAGGCATTGCAGGGCGGAAAAGGCTAAGAAACAAAATAATTTCAAGATAATTAGGTGGAGCGGGCGGGCGGGCTGCTGAGGACGCGCCGCCTGTGCCTCCCTCCCTGCGTGCCTCGCCCCGGGCCGCCTGGGGCTGCCGCGGTGCGCGGGTGCCGGGCCCTGCCTTGCCGGCCATGGGGGAAGGGGGCACCATGGGGCGCCGCCGGCCCTTCCCCGGGGCGCCGCCGCGGCGCTGGTGGCGGCGGCAGCAGCAGCAGCAGCGGCAGCGGCAGCGGTGGTGGCCGGGCCGCGGCGGCGGCGGCGAGGGTGCGGGGCGCGCTGCCATGGGCCTTGGCCGGGCTGCAGGCAAGAAGATGTCCAAGCCCCGCGCGCTGGAGGCGGCGGCGGCGGCGGCAGCGACGGCCCCGGGCCTGGAGATGGTGGAGCGGAGGGGCCCGGGGAGGCCCCGCACCGATGGGGAGAGCGTATTTACCGGGCAGTCAAAGATCTATTCCTACATGAGCCCGAACAAATGCTCTGGAATGCGTTTCCCCCTTCAAGAAGAGAACTCGGTTACACATCACGAAGTCAAATGCCAGGGGAAACCATTAGCCGGAATCTACAGGAAACGAGAAGAGAAAAGAAATACTGGGAACGCAGTACAGAGCGCCATGAAGTCCAAGAAACAGAAGATCAAAGACGCCAGGAGAGGTCCCCTGGTACCTTTTCCAAACCAAAAATCTGAAGCAGCAGAACCTCCAAAAACTCCACCCTCATCTTGTGATTCCACCAATGCAGCCATCGCCAAGCAAGCCCTGAAAAAGCCCATCAAGGGCAAACAGGCCCCCCGAAAAAAAGCTCAAGGAAAAACACAACAGAATCACAAACTTACGGATTTCTACCCTGTCCGAAGGAGATCCAGGAAGAGCAAAGCCGAGCTGCAGTCTGAAGAAAGGAAAAGAATAGATGAATTGATTGAAAGTGGGAAGGAAGAAGGAATGAAGATTGACCTCATCGATGGCAAAGGCAGGGGTGTGATTGCCACCAAGCATTTCTCCCGGGGTGCCTTTGTGGTGGAATACCACGGGGACCTCATCGAGATCACCGACGCCAAGAAACGGGAGGCTCTGTATGCACAGGACCCTTCCACGGGCTGCTACATGTACTATTTTCAGTATCTGAGCAAAACCTACTGCGTGGATGCAACTAGAGAGACAAATCGCCCAGGAAGACCGATCAATCACAGCAAATGTGGGAACTGCCAAACCAAACTGCACGACATCGACGGCGTACCTCACCTCATCCTCATCGCCTCCCAAGACATCGCGGCTGGGGAGGAGCTCCTGTATGACTATGGGGACCGCAGCAAGGCTTCCATTGAAGCCCACCCGTGGCTGAAGCATTAACCGGTGGGCCCCGCGCCCTCCCCGCCCCACTTTCCCTTCTTCAAAGGACAAAGTGCCCTCAAAGGGAATTGAATTTTTTTTTTACACACTTAATCTTAGCGGATTACTTCAGATGTTTTTAAAAAGTATATTAAGATGCCTTTTCACTGTAGTATTTAAATATCTGTTACAGGTTTCCAAGGTGGACTTGAACAGATGGCCTTATATTACCGAAACTTTTATATTCTAGTTGTTTTTGTACTTTTTTTTGCATACAAGCCGAACGTTTGTGCTTCCCGTGCATGCAGTCAAAGACTCAGCACAGGTTTTAGAGGAAATAGTCAAACATGAACTAGGAAGCTAGGTGAGTCTCCTTTCTCCAGTGGAAGAGCCGGGACCTTCCCCCTGCACCCCTGACATCCAGGGACGGGGTGTGAGGAAGACGCTGCCTCCCAATGGCCTGGACGGGATGTTTCCAAGCTCTTGTTCTCCTAACGTCTCGACAGGCGCTCACTGAAGTGTATGAATATTTTTTAAAAAGGTTTTTGCAGTAAGCTAGTCTTCCTCTCTGCTTTCTCGAAAGCTTACTGAGCCCTGGGCCCCAAGCACGGGCCGGGCATAGATTTCCTCTTCCACACGCTGCCGCTTTTCTGGGCACCTTGAAGCATCAGGGCGCGAAATCAAACTAGATGTGGGCAGGGAGAGTGTTGCTTACCTGCCCTGCTGGGGCAGGGTTTCCTGAAACTGGGTTAATTCTTTATAGAAATGTGAACACTGAATTTATTTTAAAAAATAATAATAATAATTAAAAATAATTTTAAAAAAACACAGAAAACAACTTTCATGTATATAGGTCTTGAAGTGAGTGAAGTGGCTGCTTTTTTTTTGCTTTTCGTAGAAGAGATTGAGAATGGTACTCTAACCAAAAATAAAGTTTTGTAGTGGGACCAGAAATTACTTACCTGACATCCACCTGGGGGTGGGTCCCCCTCATCCTGCTGGGGTTGAAAGTTCCAGACCTGCTGTCGAGGCCTTGTGTTTGTCAGATACCCAGTGTCCTCCTGCAAGGACGCAACTGAGCTGAGGTGTGAGCCTAGGAGCCCAGGACCCCTGACCCCAGCCGCTGCTGCCAGCCTCAGAAAGGCACCCAGGTGTGCAGGGGAGCACACAGGGCCCGGCAGCCCCCAGGAATCAAGGATAGGGCTAAGGTTTTCACCTTAACTGTGAAGGCGGGAGGAATAGGTGGCTGCTTCCTCCCGCCCTTCACAGAACTGATTCTCATGCACTGTCCCTTCAGTCCAGGGGGCCGGGGCTCAGGAGCCATGACCTGGTGTCTCCTGCCCACCCTGGTCCCAGGTAAATGTGAATGGAGACAGGCATGAGAGCCTGTCCTCATCTTTGATTTCCCCCCCAACCCCACCTCGGGCCTTACGACGGTGTTACCTAAGAAAGTCTTCCCTCCCACACCCACCCCCCGCTAGCCTGGTCAGTGGTCAGCAAATTGGAAGAGGATCCGATGGGAGTGTAAATGTGAGACACAATGTCTTGATTATACCTGTTTGTGGTTTAGCTTTGTATTTAAACAAGGAAATAAACTTGAAAATTATTTGTCATCATAAAAATGAAACAAATTAAAATATTTATTGCCAGGGGAAAAAAAGATAATTAGGTATGTGTGTGCATGGTTTTTAACAAAATAATAATAAGCATAAAAGAAAATAATCCAGTTGATGAGAAAAGAAGAAAAGACTGACAAGAGGACCCCTATGGCTACTTTTTACTTCACACTTGAAGAGAAATATTTTAAATATTAAAACATATAAATAAAAAGTAAAGGAAATTATTACAAGGCTCAAAGAAAGAATAGTTTTAGCAGCTGAGAAAAGGTTAAAGGTTAGTCTTAAAACTTTACCACTTGTTTAAAATCAGATCATCATAGGTTTTTATTCTCTTTACTAAAAACAGAACTATGGGAGAATGAGATTAATAAGAATATCTTGATACTGTGAATGTTTAAACACAACACAAGCAAACACCGGTAGTTTCTGGAATCCCTAGCAATGGCCACTACCCACCCACACAAGGCCAGTCTACATGAAGGCTGGGAGCCCACTGAGGCAGCCTCAGAAATCAGCTAAGCTTAAAAGGCTATGCTCCAGGAAGATGTGAGAGGTTCCATCCACTGACTTTTAGAAACACAATTTCAACAGGGAAAAGCCATTTAGGGAAATGCCAGCCTTTATACCTGAAAAACCCAGATGGCAAATCCTTAATAATGCACTTTATGATTTAAAATCCTCCCATAAAAGACCAGCTCTCCTTAAGTGAGATTTCAAGGCAGGCATCTATCTACCCACTTCTTCTGGGACTTGATTCCCACACAAGAGCAAACAGCTTTCTGGGATTCCTCGTTTCCCTCCAAGCTGAGCTGGCACTGCTTTTGTATGCACAGGGCTGCTAGCAATCAGATTGGCCTATGACCAGCCCTAGAGTGCCCTGATCCTGGACACCCCTGATCCTGATCCTCTGCTATGGGGAGACTGCTAAATGTAGGCAGGTGGGCTACAACAGGGAAGATAGGCTCAACGGTTTTTCCCCCAGCTCTGCATTAACCTCGAGGGTTCCATCTGCCTCCCCTCACCCTCACCACACTATTCTCTCTCCCCCTACCTCTCCTAAATGATGCTGAGCCAAAGGAGAAGAAAGCAGCACATCTCTCTACTTACCGAGGGGGAGGACTATGATGGGGATGTTCTTGGGATGCTTGCTCTCCTTATCAATGAATTCCCCCGTCACGGTTTTCTCTCGCTCAGTCACCCGGCAGTTGTATTTCCCGCTATCTTCCTGGCGGAGGTGGTAGATCTTCAGCACAAAGACACTGTCGCTCTCTTTGGCCACGTTAAGCTGTCCCCTGGCTTCCCGGTGAGCAAATTCGCTGTTGAGGACAGGCACAGCGTTAGGGCCCATGGTGGCGATGAGCGAGCTGTTGAAGGCCCAGGAGACAGCAAAGTAACGGTCGGGAACATTCTGAGCCTCCGGGATGCATCTGAACTCCACCGGCTCGCCCACCATGTGCAGCCGCTTCTCTGTTTCCAGCCGAACAGTGAATTCTTTCTCTGAGAGAACAATTAAGAAAAGAGACACATCCTGGGGGAATGAGGGCCCCAGCCAACTAAACCACATTAGCACATTCCCACTATCCTTCCTCTTCTTTACAATGCTAATTTTGGGGAGGACCACAGCACTTGGCTTGAGAGTAAAATCCAACTCAGACCCAGGTTATCTGAGGTCCAGAGAAACGCCTGAATATCACAGACAGAATTCAAAACTACTTCAGCCCAGACGGTCTAAGCAAACTGTTACCCCGGTTAAGACCAATGGGGCTCAGTCTGAAGCTTTAGATGTCTTGCATGAGACCCCCAGGTCAGTGAGAAGCTACTAATATCACTCAAATGGTGGATTACAAATATCTAGCCTTGATATATGCACCCAGAACTCTATTTAAGCAACAGCATTATAAACATTTTCAGCAGATATTGTAAGACTTACCCCACTGAGGTCTGTGGGAAAAAATTACAGAGTGGCCTAGGTGCTGGCCCAATCCTAACAAATGCTCAAAGATTAAAATTCCCTCTCTACCCCCCACCATGTGAATACTAGAAATAAGATGTAGCTATGACAAAACCCTAACAGAATTACATAGAAAAAATAAAAACTAATGTCTGTTCACTAGTTTACCACCTGTCAGATCAAATCTTTAGGCAGATTTCAATGGAAGTAGGTACTTTCCCACTGAAGTACCTACTAAGTACTTACTTTAGTAGGAAAGTACCTACTTTAGTGGGAAAGTACCTACTAAGTACTCACGCCTGGTTAAACCTTAGTAGGTACTTTCCCACTTAGTAAGTACTTAGTAGGTACTTTAGTAGGAAAGTACCTACTTCTGCTGAAAAAGCCAGACAGCCTCTGAAATGATTACTAAACCCAAGCAGCCTCCAAAGAGCTAGGTGTTTTTTAAATTTTTATTTATTTACTTATTTATTGTGACAGGGTCTCGCTCTGTTGCCCAGGCTGGAGTGTAGTGGCATGATCATGGCTCACTGCAGCCTCGACTTCCCAGGCTCCAGCCATCCTCCCACCTCAGCCTCCAGAGTAGCCACCATATCTGGCAAATTTTTGTTGAGTTGGGTGTTTAACCAGGCGTGAGGGGGTGACCAAAGAGGGGCTCATCACCACTAACAGCATCACCACAACCTGTGTACCAGTGTACAGTGGCTATTAATCTCATTAGACAGCTATCGTATCTCATAGGCACCCAGGGCAGAAGTCAGGGGGAAGAAAACGGAGTTAAGGGTTAGAGACTGGAGCTGTGACCACTGCCCAGTTCTAGCTCTGTTCCTCTAAAAAGAACACTGAGGTGGAAAAAATCTCATGGCAGAGATGTTTGAATTCCATGTAGACTCATTAGCTCTGACCTTGCCTGCCTTCCCTAGACTGGCATGTCTAGTCTTTCCCACTATCTTCAAGATCTTGCCCATTCATCCCGTCCTAGGCACTCTTCAAGCAGACGAGGTTTCTGTTTCCCTGAGAAACCATAAGAGTCACGCATGAGCAGCATCCACATTCCTCTTTTCCAGCCCCAGCTCAGCTTTACCCCTCCTGCTCCTCAGGCTCTCCAGCCCCTCCCCCCGATATAGGCCAGTGTCCTGCTGCAAACACCCCTTCTTTCCAGTGACCTAACTACTTCCTCTAGCAGCCAAACTTCCTGACAGAGAAAACCACGTCATCAACTCTAGGGCCTCCCCTCCAATGAAGTAGCTGCCGTCACAGCTTCCAGCTCCCAAGAGACCAGTCTTAAGAGGCATGGATTGAAGGAAGCACATTTCACTCTGCCACCATCTGCCTGGATGAACACACTCATATGGCACAGTCCCCGTGTTATCTGCTGGATATTATCTCTCACGTCAACCCAATTAGTCATTTATAACCCGACATCAATGACAGAAAAGCACTCCTTCCACATAAACACCACTGGAGCTGTGCAAGGGGTACCCTAGACTTCAGACCTTTCCATTGCTCCAGGTTAGCCTGGCTGTAACTCTGGCTTTCTTCTTTCAGTGGCCAAAGACTCTGCTCATCTCAGGGGAGTCCTCCCATGCCTTGGTGACACCTTCATGTTCCCAGGTTGAAGACACAAGATTTACCCACATCACCCCTGTTTCTGCCCTTGGTTATGCCCAGTCAATTACATCTCTAGAAACTGACCTGTGCTTTTTCCAATACCCCTTCCACTTCATCTCACTGAAATTAGGCTTCACTGACTTAGCAAATGTCAAGAATGATCCACCCTACCCCTACCCCTACCCCCATCCTAACCAAAGGCTTTCCTCAAGCAGGTTGAGGCCTCTGAGCCTGCTCTATGATCCCTTCTCTCCTGCTCTGCTTCTTGCTGGCCTGCCCACTCTGTTCCACTCTCTCACCTGCTTCCCTGGTCACCTCTTACTGCTGCTGTTCTCCCAGGCCCTTTCCCATTTTTACCCCATGGGCTCTTCCAGGGCCCTGATCACTCTCAGGCTCAGTCTCTGAGCCCCAGACCCCTATGTCTGAGGACCCACTGGGTGTTTCGCATACTGAGCATCTCTATCAGAGTCTATCTGATGGATGGGCTCTTTCACTAGAATTTACAAAAACAAAAGGCAGCCAATGCTGCCACAAATGCAAAAGATCCTGCATGTCCTCATTATTGTTCCTTCCCTCCCACAGTTCAAGGAACCCCCAGAGCCCCAGCCCCAGCCCCTGGGCTTCTAGACAGTTGGACCCCTCCTTCCATTGTGCTCTTTATTCTTTCGCCTCTGGCACCCACTGACCTAGCCTTGGCTCTTATTAGCTCTTTTCTACCTGGTCTCTTGGCTTCAGACTCAACGGATTTAATCAACCTCCAGGTGGCCTCCATAGGTTTTTCTTTCTGAAACCCTGATCTGATTGTCTTACTCCCTGCTTAAAAATCTCTACCTCCTCTCCAACTGTCTGCAGCAGAGGTCTTCAAACTTTATTAAGAAGAGGACAAAGGAAGGGGACTTTTTATTCATATAAAATCTTCTGCTGCCCAACATAGTTGAAGCAAGGGGGGACCACACAGGCCCTTGCATGCCTTCTTTCTGCACTCCTGAGTATGCACACGTGCACATGAACACCAACACACACCCATGTGTAACCTCCTAGGTACCTTTGAGGGGCTTCCAGGGTTCCAAGAACAGCTTGAAAACTCTTGGCCCACAGAGTCAAGCCCCGGCTCTATATCACTGCATTTGGGGCTTCGGGCTCCCTTTCCTCTCATCACACACATCTGGAACTCAACATCTGGAACTAGTCATACTTGACTCCTTTCTGCTTGCCAAACATATCAAACACTTTTGCACTTTTATGCTTCTTCTCCTGCTGACTCCTCAAGCTTCCAGACTCAGTTCAAGTCAAGAAACTTATTGGTGTTCCTGGATTTGTCTTATCAACCATCCCATTCAGAGAAAACTATGGTTGCAAGAACACTTCCTATTTCCGGTATTCCCAGAGCACTCTATACAAATGCTATCAATGCACTTAGCACATTTTACTTGTCCATTGGTTCTCAGGTCTGCCTAAGTGCAGGGACCAGTGCTAGTCATCTTTGAAGCCCTTAATGCCTATCACCATCACACCTTCAATGCTGTGGAGACTGGCTACATGTTTACTGAAATAAACTGAGAAGGGTAGAGTTGGAGATGCAACTGCTGAACCTAAACAGCACAGGAATGCAGAGTGAAGTCATCAACTTTTTTTTCACTTAGTTTTCCTTTTGATGGCTTAGTCTAGATACATTTTCAGGGTAAATTCAAAAAGTTCTATTTCCAAATTGGTAAGATTAAAATAAAGAAGATTAACTGATGCAACCTAATTTAAAAGCATTAAGACTCAAAATTTGGCCCAAATTTTTGAAGTTGATCTTAAAACTATCCAGGAAGGGAAAGGATAAATATAAAATAAAGCCCCTTGGATAGATTTTTTAATGCTGAAAAATCCAGAAGCTGCTAAATGTCCTACAGAGCAGATAAAGTGCTCCCTATCCCTACCAACCCCTATGGTAAAAGATTTCACATCCATTAGATGACTTATTAAAGTGATGTCCAGAGAATTGCTTCTGCCCTAGAAGATTTGCTTGAAAAAAATGTAGATAGCAGAAGAATCACCTGGGAAGCGTGCCAGAAATCCAGCTTCCCAGGTCCCATCCCAGGAGCCTCCAACTGAAGACTTCTGGGACGAAGCCCCAAAATGTGTACTGTTAGCTGAGTCTGAGGCATTACTCTAGAATGGCAGAGAAAGTATGCAAAGACCCAGACAACTGACTGCAGCAAATGGGACATGGAGCCCAAGAGACAGGTCCTGAAGAAGGACCCCACCTGTACTGCAACTCACCAGCTTATTTCCCACAAAGCCACACTCACTCACCAGAACCACCACAGTCCTCACTGGAAGTGAGCATCCGCACAAGGAAAGGCTTTCTGGCCACTCATCACCAACTTAGTGATGGCACAACAACCACGCTCCAACCAAAGCTGGGGGAACTGAAGGCCCATGTGAGAACCTGCCCTCAGCCCAGCAGAGGCAGCCAGCAACAGCTGTCAGCTCTGGCCTGGAGCCTGGTGGGCTCATGAGACTGGGGAGTAGAGTCTGGGGCCACGGGAGATACCAAGAGAAGCCAGGGAAGGTTTCAGCTGGCTGTGCCACCATCATTTTGCCTCAAGACAAATGATGGTGTCTAAAGACATCATGCAACCTCCTCAGGACCCCTTCCAGGCCTTCACTTAAGAAAACATCTACAGTGGAACTTGGTACTCTCAGACTGGCCTCATCAACATGCCCTATGACTCCTCTTGAGCCCTAACATAAAGTAATCTGCATTCAGCATCCTCACCTGCAAAATAGGTACCACCTACTCACCTCACAGAACGTCTGGGGGATGGTGAAGTAATATGTGATAAAGCATTTTGGAAATTACAAAATATCACCAAAGACTATTATTAGATAAAAAATAATAATTTAAGCCAAAATTTCTCTAGTCCATAATGTTAGACCTTGGATGGAAGTCTCATTATCTCAAATGGCTTCTGCAAATGAAACCAGATGGGTACCTGAGGAAGGCAACATCATTAAACGGGGCAGCAACTGTGGCTAATGGGAATGAAAGCCCAGAGTTTTAAGATACAAATGGTTTCTCAGAAATCTCTGAATTTTTAAAATGAGTTTCTAATTCAAAAAAGTGTAAACGCCACGTAGGTGGAAGAAAGCATGTCTCTAAGCAGGATTCAGTCTGTGTGGCACCTGCCTGTGACTCAGGTCTTAGGATACCTATGTCCCGCACATCCCTCAGCTCCCTCCGGCCGCACACAAGACCGGCTTTAACTTCACATGAAAACCTGCTGCCCTGGTAGAGGTGCCCAAAGAAGGAGTCTCCACATTCTCCCAGTATCTGACAGCTTTCACCACCAAGTAAAGGACAGGACAAGAGGCTCAGAGGGACTGACCAGTTGGCTGGACGTTGACCACTGCTCCCTCGGAACGCTTTCGGGTCATAGCATACCACGACCCATCCGGATCCTGGATCCACTCAGCGGCCTCGCAGTAGAACTCGCCCTGGTCAGAAGGCTGCAGGTGGAAGATGGTGAGGCAGAAGGTGGTCCTCCCCAGCTTGTCCAGCCGCACCTCCCCCAGGCTCTGCCTCTGGGCATATTCGCTGCCAGAGTGAAGCATGAAATCTCGGCTCAGGGAGATGACCTCCACGGGCTTCTCGCCAACTTTCTGCCAGAGCCAGGCCACAGACAGGTGGCTGTGCTGAACGGTCTCCGAGGCCACCTCACAAGTGAGCTCCAGTGGGTCCTGCTCCACTCTGTGCAGAGTCTGGGGCATGGCAGTGGTCTGCAGGGAGTCTGGGATCACTGCAACACAGAAATGTCCTGAGACTGCAGTCACAAAGCCACAGAATCTGAGACTCCCGGGGCTAAGCTCCCATTCCACGCAGGCGTCACCGCACTGCGTCCCTAACAGTCATCCTTGAACCATCGATTCAAGGACACAGACAGCCCCAAATGCACATAAACAGAAAGTTTTCTGTTCGGATTTGGAAATGCATTATTTTGGTGCTTACACTTACCTGTCTCGTATTTTAATAACACTTGGATAAAACATGGGGTGTATTTCATATTACATAATAAATGAACTCCCTGAAAATATTGTCTTTAAACAATTGTCTTATAGGTCAAATAACATTTGTTGTTGATTCTGGCACTGCTTTGAGATACTTTAACTTCACTTCTGACTGGTCCTCTAATGGAAATGCCTCCTGGAACTTTTAGTTTTACATTTCTATACAACATCCTTTCTTTCCTTCCCACATCCCCATCCTGTAACTTACTTCAGCAATGCAGCCCTAGGAAGATGATTTTTTTAAAAAACCATTTTTGGTAGAAACAATAATCATCATACCCTATTTTTAGTGGGTTTAATTTTCACATAATTCATCAATCAAAGGGGTTCTCACTGGAAGGAAGCCACAGTCTGGAGAGATTCAAGCAAGAGAAGAGATTTTCTCTGTGATCCCTTGGTCAGAATCATACCCTGATCCTTGCTTGCACCTTTCTGGAGATTAAATAGCACCACCTCTCTGTCTGATGAGAGTACCCTAGTCACAACTAGTATGTGTTTTCTCCCTGTTCTCACCCAAGGATTGGGTCTTACAGGTCTCCTGCTGGGAACGGCCAAGTGCGGTGGCTCACACCTATAATCCTAACACTTTGGGAGGCTGAGGGAGGCGGATCACCTGAGGTCGGGAGATCGAGACCAGCCTGACCAACATGGAGAAACCCCGTCTCTACTAAAAATACAAAATTAGCCAGGCATGGTAGTGCATGCCTCTAATCCCAGCTACTCAGGAGGCTGAGGCAGGAGAACTGCTTGAACCCAGGAGGTGGAGGTTGCAGTGAGCCCCATTGCACTCCAGCCTGGGCAACAAGAGTGAAACTCCATCACACACACACACACACACACACACACACATGAAAAATAAAAGGTCTCCTGCTGGGACACAGACTAGTTAGAGAAAGGAAAAATAAACAAATGATAGTATGTGTATTAATAAAAGAACTAGCAACACCCACTGCTTAGTTGTGATAATAAAAACTGGACATTAAGATAGGCAGAAAAACAGAACAGCCTTGATACGGTTAACCCTTTGACACTGGCAAACACTGTGACCAGTGCTGCCCACACTGGCAGCTCCTGCATCCCTCTTCCTCATGTTTCCTTCAGCATTAAGGAGCAACAAGGGAGACAGCCAGTTCATAGTTCCTTACGCATGGAGCCAAAGGACCTTCAATGTACAAGGTCTGAACAAGGACCCGCAGCCACATGTGCTTCCTGCTTCAGCAGTGCCCCATGGGTCTCAGAGCTACCGAAAGGCCTATCCTTCCGAGAGGTTTCTCCTCTCTTCCAACTGATGTCATATGTCTCATTTTCCTTGTCATTCAGATCATCAACCACAAACGTCCTTGCCTTATATTTTCATATCCCTTTTCACCAGTTACAGCGTTAGTTAACTTATGAAATTCTTAACATCTGTATTAGATCTTTTTAAATTTTCACCCTCAACCACCTATTATTTAGAAGTGAACACAGAAATTTAGTTTCCTTATGCTATCTGTTGACCCCTAAAATATGTTGGGAGTTTTGGGATTTTTTTTAAAGTCAAATGCATGGCATAAAGCAAAATTACACTACTAAAGAACTGAGTCAGGCCAGACGCTGGCGACGTGAAGACAGCTTCTCCTTACCCACTAGGTTCATCTTTGCACTGTAACTCCCAAAGTATTGCTTATCGGTGCTGGGTGTGTGGCATTCATATTCTCCGGCATCCCGGGCCTGAAGATCTGTGATGTGCAATAGGGTTGGGTTCCCCTGGACTCTTTCTATGAAGATCTTCCCTCCGCGGACGCGCTGGGTGTAGATGGCATAGGGGAAGGAAGGGTCCATGGTGCTGACGATCTGCACCTCTCGCTCTGGCGACGAAGGCAGGTAAATGGACCACTGGAAATTCTGCTCAGGAGGTCCCTGGGAGCCACTCACATTGCACCAGATAGTGATGTGGGAGCCCTCCATGCGGTACAAGGGTCCTTCCTGAACGGTGACCTGCCGCTGTGCTGACACCACACCTACGAGGGAGAGAAACACACGCAACATGCTCACTTACAAAATGCAAAGTACGCAGCAATCTCCAAAGGGTTTGTTATTTGTGTGACATGATAATAATATAAACAGCTTACTGGCCCTTTCAAAGGCACTCTGTGATTTATAAATATTAATTAAAACACTCTGTGGTAAAGCACTGTCCCTAATTTGAATATACGGGAATTTGTTCATGCCAAGATGTGCTTTTGTTACTTATTCAACAGCTGACACTTGGGAATTTCATTTAGCCCCTCTGTTTGTCATGTATATGGCAGTTTATATCTATTTATTAATGCTGTGTATAAAGTTTTTAATAAAATAAGCAGGAAAAGTTGAATCCTTGGCACAAATTCAGATGAAAACAAATAAAAGCGACCATCTAGAAATCTGGCTGAAATTAAATGCTTCTTCCTTGGTCCGAGTGCTGGTGGGAGGGAGTCCTGGGAGCACCTTTTTACTGGTGCTGCACCCTTCATTTTCCCATGTAGCTGCTCCCCAACACCACCCCAAGGAGCATTCCTTAGTTTCTCTTCCCTCCATAAATGGAGGCAGAGCTGAGCTCCTGCAGGCTGCTATCGTTTTAAGCTGAGCACACCTAAATACAAATGTGAAGGGCTGAAACAGATCCCTGATGCCCAGATTCCCACAAACTGACAAAGGGGGGAACTAACAGTGCCCAGCTAAACCTGTGACAAGGACAGTCAGGCTACCCTTGAGTTTCCCACTCAAGACTCTCCCACTGACCTCCTGCCTTCTGGCTCAGATACTGTTCTCCAAGGTCACTTCTGCCTGCCTTCTGCATGTTCTTCTTAAAGTGGCATGGTGAGTTTAAGTTCTCATTTCATGCCAACTCAACACTGATTGTGCCTGAGCCACTCAGAAGGTGGGAGGGGGCACACCGCTGCCTCTTCATTTCGGCAGTGGTCACCTACTGCAGGTTGTGAAAAGCACAGGTGAGTTATAGGCGCAGCTTTGCCACCAATTAGAGCTGGTTGTGTCATCTCAGACAACTTGCTTTTCTTCTCCAGACCTTGATCTTCTCATCTATCACATGATTTCTAAGAAGGCTTTAGAGAGGACTAGCATGGGTTCCGATGCTAGTCACTTATTAACTGTGGTCTTGGATAAGCTGCTTAACCTCTCTAAGCCTCAGTTTTCTCATTGGTAAGATGGGGATAATAATGCCTGTCTCATAGGGTTATTGAGAAGATTTAGTAACATCTGTAAAGACCCTAGCACAGAGCCTAGCCCACAATCAGTCCTCAATAAAGAGCTGCTGGCTAAGACATATTTCTGCTGGAACATTCTGTGGCTCTGGATCCATAGAGGACAGGATTTGGCCAATGACTGCTTAAGGACATTTCAATGGCCCCTTGACAATGACACCATCACTGGGCTGCCCACCTCATCCCACAGCTGCAGCCCATTCTTGTGATAGCTTCCCTTTTCCCCCACAAATGGGAATGGCGGCTGCCCTGGCTATGCCTATCTGAAGTGGATCCAGCTGGTGAACAGCCGGGACAGCTCAAATACTAGTGGAGTGCAGCTCTCTGCCCAGCCCAGCAGGTGACTGTGCCTCAGTGTAAGCTAATCTAATCTGCAAGATGGCAGACCTCAAAACAGCCCATACAATGAAATGCCCATGGCTTGCAAAACTTTAATTCATGCAGAACCTTTCCTCACAAACAAAATCTTACACAGAACCCCATCTTGGCTTCAGCAGAATCAGGAAAAATAAAAAATTGGCAGGGGAAGGAAATAAACAGAACAAGTGGTATCTGAATTTATTTGATATATTCTGGTTGATGGCATTAATTATGATATTTAAAGTCACCATGAGGACAACTCATTAGTAATATCAGTATGTTAAAATATGGTGCATAACATTTTTACTATATGTACAGTCATGCACTGAATAACATTTCAGTCAATGAGGAAACACATGTGCAACAGTGATCCTGTAAGATTATAATGGAGCATATATAGAGATCTAATATATGGCACTTAATGTTGGCATGGCAGATCAAGTAGGGGAAATGACTGATATTTAGTAACAGTGCTGGGACATTTGATTTTCCATAATAAAATATATAAATGAAAATATATATCCCATCTAGGTTTGTTGAAATACACCCTATGATGTTCACACAAGAATGAAATTGCCTAACGACACATTTCTTAAAACATGTCCCCATCATTAAGTGACCCATGACTGTATACACACACACGGTGACATTTGAATCAAATGATTGCAGTATTCCTGAAACACAGAACATTTTGCAAACAATTTACCTACATTCATAACATTAGGTATCCTTTGAATTGCCGTGTTCTATGACAGAGCAACTACAACCAACCCCCATCCATCTCCTGCAAAGAAGGCTGGAGGCAGGTCAGGGTACACCAGCATCTTCAAGGACTGCTTCTCAGTCCTGGACCTAAACTGGAATCACCTGGGGAGCTTTAAAAAAAATAACAGTGCCTGCACCCCACCTGACATAACTGGTCTTAGGATTAATTAGGATTTTTTTTGAAGCTCCACAGATGATTCAAATCAGGTGTAGCAAAGCACTGTTACTTTAAAGTGTCTCTACCTACACGGTGCCAGCCAAGTGCTTAAATGAAATATCTTAAGGCTCTCACTAGCTTTAAGTTTCTCTCTTTGGTAGAGACCCAATCACTGGTTCAAGGAAGTTTCATTCTCCTCCAGTCTTCCCCAGTGCAAAAGAAAAGAGCTGAGACCCATCAGATACTGGCTTTTGTGATGCAATAATGAGTTTAACCAGAATGCATCCTATTTACAGACCTTACAAAGGCACTTGGCCAGCGGATCATGCATGTCCTCCCCACCCAAAGGTAAACAGTGTTAAGTGGCCTGAATGAGCCAGGACAGCAGGGTCAAATCAACTTGTCTAGGCTGGACGCAGGTTATAAACAATCCAGACAAATAAATAACTACTGGATTGCACTTTAACCACACACATTCAGCTGCACCTGTTTATTAAATACCTCCTTAATTTCCCTCTGCCCCACAAAGGGCTTCTGACCCCTGAAAATAATGCTTCTCAACATAAAAATAATTGTTTTCTTCTTGGCAGTTTAATTCCCCTTCCACACATCCCCCCACCATTTCCCTATAATGGTAATACCCTGCTGTGCAGACCTCTGCTGCCTCCAAAGAGACACAGGCACCCAACCCTGACCAGGGCATCCTCTGACCCACAGCCCCTCTATCTCCCCTCTCAACCTACAATAGAAAGTTCCTCCCAGGCAAGGATCATTTTTTTTAAATAACTTTTTAAACTTTAGACATTCTGTACTCTTTGGATTACTCTGCAATAAGCAAATATGACTTCTGTAACATAAAAAGAAAGATCAAAATGTTATATATAACTGCATGAAAAGAACTAGAAAGAAAATACTAGGTGACAGGATGGCAAGTGATTTTTATTTTTTTCTTAATATTTTACTCCTTCCCCCAGTCCTCTGCAATGAGTATGTACCAGTTTTATAACTAGAAAAAAATTTTAGCCAAAAAGAAAAATAATGCATGTTTGCTATATAAAATTCACTACTGTAGTATTTATATATATATACATATTTGGTCTTTGTCCCCAGTTCCTGGCACTGAGCTCCTAAACCCCTTGGAACTTCCTAAGCAATGGGAGTACCTTTTGTTATTTATAAGAAGCCCCTTTTGGCCATCCCAGAGTTTATGCTAATGAGGTGAATGAAGGTGAGCATGGAGGCAGTTTCAAGGAAGGAGCTGGCCACGGTTAGAGTTGTGGAGTTTTCAGCCCCACCCTTAGACCTCCAAGGACAAGAGGGGGACCGCAGATTGATCCAATCAGTATTGGTCAGTGATTTGATCAGTCATACCCATGTAATGAAATCCCATATGAAAACCCTAAATAACGGAGTTAGGAGAGCTTCTGGGTGCTGGAAGCGGTGTGCACCAGGAGAGGGCATGGGCAGTCAGCACTACTCCCCTCTCAGACTTTGCCCTATGCACTAAATAGGACTGACCTATGTGACCAATAGGAAATGCACAAATGGTGGAATGTGACTTCCAGGGCTAGGTCATAAAAAGACAAGCACTATGTTATGAGGACATCAAAGCAGCCATATGGGGAGGACCGCATGAGGCCTCCTGCCAACAGCTAGCACTAACTTGCTAGCACGTGACTGGAAGTAGATTCTCCAGCCTCAGTCAACTCAGTCAAGCCTTCAGATAATGTCAACCCCAGGCATCTTTTTGTTGTTGTTGAGACAGGGTCTCACTCTGTCACCCAGGCTGGAGTGCAGTGGTGCAATCATAGCTCACTGCAGCCTTGACCTCCGAGGCTCAAGTGATCCTCCCACATCAGCCTCCTGAGTATCTGGGACCACCAGCAGACACCACCATGCCTGGCTAACTTTTTTATTTCTTATAGAGACGGGATGATATGGTTGGGGTCTGTGTACCCACCTAAATCTCACGTTCAATTATAATCCTCAATGTTAGAGGTGGGGCCTGGTGGGAGGTGACTGGATCACAGGAGTGGATCTTTCATGAATGATTTAGCATCACCCTTTTGGTGCTGTGCTCGTTAGAGTTCTCACAGTATCTAATTGTTTAAAAGTGTGTGGCACCTCCCCACTCTCTCTCTTGCTCCTGATTTGGCCATGTAAGGCGTGCCTGCTTCCCCTTCATCTTCCACCATGATTGAAAGTTTCCTGTGGTTGCCCCAGAAGCTGAGCAGATGCCAGCATTATGCTCCCTGAACAGCCTGTGGAACTGTGAGACAATTAAACCCCTTTTCTTTATAAATTCTCCAGTCTCATGTATTTATAGCAATGTGAGAACTGACTAATACATAGGGTCTCACTGTGTTGCCCAGGCTGGTCTCAAACTCCTGGGCTCAAGTAATCCTCCTGGCTTTGCTTCCCAGAGTGTAGAGATTACAGGCATGAGCCACTGAACCTGCCCCTTTCCCCCCAACAACATCTTGACTGCAACCTCCTGGGAGACTCTGAGTCAGAAGTATCCAGTTAAGATGTTACTGACTTTCTGAACCACAGAAACTGTGAGATAATAAGCATCTATTGTTCCTTTAAGCCTTAAGTTTGGGGCTTTTTTTTTTTACACCAATATATAACTAATGTAGACACCTGCAGTCCCTAAGATTGAATGCAAAATTGTGTTACATACACATGAGTGTGTTCTTCTGGGAAAAGAGTCCATAAACTTCAAAAGATTCTCAAGGGAATCCAAGACCCAAAAAGATTAAGAAACATTGCATCAGACAATAAATTGTCAATGAGCAAGGTCCTGTCCTTTTAGACTGGGTTTTGAAATCACCCATCCCACAAATATATGATACCACTTAACTAGTTTTTCAAGATATTTGTTGTTCAAAGATGCTCCCACTTTTTCTTTGTGCTCAAGTCCTAGATAAACCTGGCTAGGGGCAGGAGGTATGATTCAGGAGGTAGTGAGCTGGGAGGGCTCACTGTGCCTGGGAAAGCCAGCTTCTCATGCAATTTTTGGAATATGCCTTGGCTCAGAAACCTACCTCTCTAGGCACAGGATCCAACTTATATGTTCAAGATGTGTGACTGAGCATGTGAAAGTGTCAGAGGGATCGACCTCACCATTTTACATCTACTTTTCCAGTTGTGGCCCCTACAATCATCAAAACTCATTCAGCACCATGCTCCTCCAAATTCTGCTTGCGACTCAGCCACACTAGTATCTTTCTTCATCTATAAGATGAAAGTAATACAATGTACCATGTAGCAAACTCACAGGAGACCCTAGAGATCAAATAATACTGTGAAAGCCACCAAATGAATATTTTAAAATTTTATCTCATTTCTGCCAAGGTGAGATATCAATCTAAAAACAAGATAAATCTTTGTAAGTACAAGAACATTAAAAAGAACATTAAGTTTGGGTTAAAAATGCGAAACTGCTTATGCAGGAAAATTACGTTAAAAAAAAAAAAAAATCCTACACCTACAAAAACAACCAAACAAAACATTGATGATACTGGGCTGAATCACTGAATGGTGAGAATATGAGTGATTTTCTCCTCTCCTATTTTTCTCAATACCTTTTCTCTATTATCTCCTTTTTTAAATAAGCAAGTATATATTGTTCTAAACTGAAGATAAATGATCATGAGTAGCACTTTCCCAGGCACTGTCCTAGTTGCTCTGCATACATCATCTCATTTAATCCTCACAACAGTGAATGGGGTCGATTTCATTACAGCCGCATTTACCAGACAAGGAAATGGTTTTCAAGGTTAAGTAACCTTCTCATGACACAGAATGTGACTAAGAGTTTTCTTATTCCATGGCTCACATTAAATGTGCTCTGTGAATATCAGTGAGAAGTAATAAAGCACTGACTGGATCTTCTTGCCCACCTGGTCCTAAAAGAAATGATGGGGAATCTATGCAGTCCCAAGTTAAAAATGGGATCTGAACTGAGCTGCCACAGCATGCTGAATAGGTGGAGTACAGGCCAACAAAGTGCTTCATGGAACTTAAAGGCTCCAGAGGGAAAGCAATCAGGAAGGCACTTCCACAGGCACATCGGTGACAACTTCTGGGGATTCTTACCTGTCAGCCTTCAGCCAAGGAAGGACAGGAAGTGGCATGGGCTAAAAGATCCTCTGTTTGACCTCTTTCCAGATCAGGTGACAGGAAAACACAACACTTGAACCTTTTCAATGAGGACAGCCAGCACTTACTGAGCCCCAGCCAGGTAACTGACACTGTTCCAAGTACTCTGCTTGTATAACCAGCTTTAACCTTGCAACAGCCCTCTGAGGTAAATACTCCTAGTGACCTCACTTTACGGATGCAGAACCTGAGGCAAGGAGTTAGGGAGTAAATGAAGCTGGCTAAAGACACTTGCACTGGCCAGGCACAGTGGCTCATGCCTGTAATCCGAGCACTTTGTGCTGGCCAACATGGTGAATCCCCAGCTCTACTAAAAATACAAAAATTACCTGGGTGTGGTGGCGCAAACCTATAGTCCCAGCTACTTGGGAGGCTGAGGCAGGAGAATCACTTGAACCCGGGAGCTGGAGGTTGCAGTGAGCCGAGATTGTGCCACAGCACTCCAGCCTGGTGAAAGAGTGAGACTACGTCTCAAAAAAAAAAAAAAAAACAAAAAACTAAGCATCAGTCAATAAATCAGACAAAGAACAAGTTAAATTCAAAGAAAGAAAAAAGGAAAAACATAACAAACAAATGAAATACGAAAGAAACACACAATAGAATCAGCCAAGCTAAAACTTGTGTTTTTTTTGGTTTTCAGATAGGGTCTCATTCTGTTGCCCAGGCTGGAGTGTAGTGGCTCAATCACAGCTTAGTACAGCCTCCCCCTTACAGGCTCAAGCGATCCTCCCACCTTTGCCTCTCAAAGTGCTGGGATTACAGGTATGAGCCACCATGCCCTGCTAAAACCTGGTTCTTAAAAAATACATTATAAAATTCACAGACCTTTAGCAAGATTTGTCAAGAAAAAGCATTCAAAAAACAATCTTGCACAGGAGGACTGTACTACAGATAGAAAGACTCTGAAAGGAAGTCATAACTTGCAGGCCAAGAACGATGGCTCGCACCTGTAATCCCAGCACTTTGGGAGACCGAAGTGGGAGGAATGCTCAAATTCAGGAGTTTGAGACCAGCCTGGGCAACATGGCAAAACCCCGTCTCTACCAAATATACAAAAATTAGCTGGGCATGGTGGCACGTGCCTGTGGTCCCAGCTACTTGGGAGGCTGAAGCAAGAGGGTGGCTTGAGCCTGGGAGGTGGAGGCTGCAGTGAGCCATGATTGCACCACTGTACTCCAGCCTGGGCAACAGAGTGAGACCCTGTCTCAAATAAACAAATTCATAATGTAAAATTATGAATACCTTTATGCCAACAGACTTTAAAGCATAGATGACAAATCTTTTTTTTTTTTTTTTTTTTGAGACAAGGTCTCATTCTGTCGCTCAGGCTGGAGTGCAGTGGCACAATCACAGCTCACTGCAGTCTCGACCTTCCAGGCTCAAATGATCCTCCCACCTCAGCATCCCAAGTAGCTCACACTACAGGCACCCACTACCACACCAAGCTAATTTTTATTTTTTTTGTAGAGATGGAGTCTCACTATATTGCCCAGGCTGGTCTTGAACTACTGTAGTCAAGTGGTCCTCCCACCTGAGCCTCCCAAAGTGCTGGGATTACAAGCATAAGCCACCATACTTGGTGAGATATGAATTTCTAGGAAAAAAAATCAAAATTGACTCAAAAAGTAGAAAAAAAACTTACATAGATTAAATATATTGAATCAGTAATGAAAAAACTTCCCATAAAGAAATTTCCAGGCCCAAGTGCCTTCACCAAAAAGTTCCATGAAACATACAAGAGAAACAAACCAACCAACCAAACAACAACAACAAAAAAAACTCTGCCACCAACACAGAGAATAAAAAAAGAAGACTCCCGAGTTCATTTTACAAGGTTAAAATAAAAATAACCTTGATATCAAAACCCAACAAGGCAAGTGCAAGAGAAAATATTTACAGGCCATCATTATTCAACGTGGATCAGCAATTATTTTTAAGATGTACTGGCCAGGTGTGGTGGTCATGCCTATAATCCTAGTATTTTGGGAGGCCCGAGTGAGAGGATGGCCTGAGCTCAGGAGTTTGAGACCAGCCTGGGCAACAAGGCAAAATCACGTCTTTATAAAAAATACAAAAATTAGCTGGGCATGGCAGCACACCTATAGACCCAGCTATTCGGGAGGCTGAGGTGGGAGGATCACTTGAGCCTAGCAGGTTGAGAATGCAGTGATCCCTGATCATGCCACTGTGCTCCAGCCTGGGCAACAGAGTGAGACCCTGTCTCAAAACAACAACAGAAAGATATGCTGACCGCCTGTGATGCTGGCCAGGATGGCGTATGCATGCTACGGCCTGTCATTTCCACTGATCACAATTTGAAACTCTGGACAAAATATAAATAGCAATGACCCAAGTACTCTGAAAAGTAACCAGCAGACAGGTTGGGAAACGTCAAAACCTGAAGAATTATCTGGATGGTGGTGGTGAGAGATCATATTCTGGGTCATAAAACAAACCCTAAAGTTAAACAATTAAAATTCAGTGAATTATTTTCTCTGATGACAGAATTAAACTAGGAATCTAGAACATTTCTAGAACATCCCCAAATATGAGAAGTTAAATGGCGTACTTCTAAATGGCCCATAGGTCAAAGAGAGTATCTTAAGACAAATTGGAAAACAGTTTGAACTTAATAAATATGACATCATCTTATCAAAATATGTGCTTACAGGGCAATTTATAGCACTAAATTATGAGAAATGAAGCATCAAATCAATAATGTAAGCATTTACTTTAAGTAAAAAAAGAACCAAATAAACTCAAATCAGGCATAAGAAAAACAGACTAAATCAGTAATATTTAAACAAAAACAGTAAAGGAAAAAAATTCAATGAAATCCAAAGTTGGTTCTTTGCAAGGGTGGTGGGAGGTGGAAGTCAATCAAATGAGGAAGCCTCTAGCAGACTGACAAAGGAAGAAGAGAAAACACAAATTGCCAATACCAGAAATGAAAGGAATATTATTACAAATCCTGTAGACACTAGAAGGCTAGAATGGACACTACAAAAACAAAACAAACAACTATATGCTTCTAAATTCTACAAATTAGGTGAAATAGATCAATTCCTTGAAAGACAGACTACCGAAACTCAAGAAGAAACAGACAGCTTGAATACCCCTGTATTTATTAAAGAAACAGAAGTGGCACAGCACTTTGGAAGACAATTTGGCAGGTTCTGATAAAGTCAAACGTACATGGACCATGTGACTCGGCAATCCTACCCTTAGGCATTTGCACAAGTGAAATGAAAACCTATGCTCAGACAAAAAGCACTTTGTGAATTCCAGTCCACTTATAATTTATCAAAAAGTGAAAATAGTCCATATTCCTCCAATGACAAACCAATAAGCAAACCATGTAGTATTTATACAATGGATTACTATTTGGCAATTAAAAGGAATAACTGTTGATACAGTATATGAAAGTAGCCAGACTCAAAAGGCTACATCCTGAACGATTCCATTTGTATAAAATTCTGAAAAAAAAGCAATGCTAGAGGAACACAGATCAGTTATTGCCAGAAGTTTACAATGGAAGGTTTTATTCTAAAGGGCAAGGTAATTTTTGGAGTGATCATATAATTTTGTAATCTACCAAAAACAAACATAATAAATGGGCAGATAAGTAAAGTTCATGGATTGGAAAGTTCAATATTGCAAAGGTCTCCCAAAAATGACCTATCAATTTAATCCCAGTGGAAATTCCAATCAGTTTTGTGAAGGCTGCTAAGTCAACTCTAAAATGGCCAAGAATAGACAAGATCACCGGAGAGGAAGCAGGGAGGTGGACACAAATATCTTCTGATTGATGAGTGAAATCATTAGAAGGCCAGCAAAAATACAAGTAAGCCAGAATTTCTAAAGCACCACAAAAGAACACTAGTTAGTAGTGCATAAAGGTATCTCCTAAATTTGTTGTAAACATAGGCCTTTAAAAAAATATTAGAAACTGATATTTAAAGAGATATAAACTCATATTAAGCTTTTAAAAAATTCTAAGCAAGGGCCTCACCTAATTTCATAAAAGGTTGCGTAGAACCAACCATTGCTGCAAACGATGTGCTGCCCTGAGATGTGAGGATCCCAGTGGTCCCTCTGGGTCAACAGCAGCTACCGCAGCTGAGCCCAAATTCTGATACATTATCTATCTACAATCATTATTTTTAACAATTTATATCAATGCTACCCATAAGGCACAGAGAAGCAGAAATGTTTATGTGGCCTCCTGCCAAAAACAATCACTTGCACTTATTTCTAGTACTCCAGAAGACAGTAATAGAAGTTTTTCAATTTAGAAAAACATTTACAGCAAAGAAAAAAATCTCTGTAAACTTCCTGCTTAACCAATCTAGTGAATTGTGATGAGCCATATAAATTCATTTAGCCACCTTATGAAAGACTTAATCCAAAGTCACTTCTAACTTCTAGAAGAGCTAATGTATTATAATCACAGTTGTGAAAGACTCAAAGGCCAGAAATGTCAAGGTGTGGTCTATATCCTAAGTCCAGAAAAAAAAACAAAAAGCAACATGTACAGGCCAAATGATTGCCAATTTCTTCTGCCTACGTCATCTTTCTTCACTATAGCCTGAAATTACATTTCATGTTTGACAATTCTCAGCAAGGAGACAAAACAAGCTTATGAGTAAAATAATAGAAAGCAGAGCCACAGAGAGGACGAGAGGCAGGAGTCATCTCCCAAGTCCAAGTTCAACTTCTATATTATTAGACAAGGCCTCAGTGTCTTTGAACTGCAAGGAATTAATATTGATTGTAGCATGAGTAAAACCTATCTTCTACTCATCATGAAAAGTCACAGTCGTTTTGTTTAAAGACTCCAGAATTATTATAGGCAGAAACAAGTAGGTTCCACACCTATTTGGTGAAACGAGGAATCAGGAATGAGCATTCCCAAGAGAATACAATTACAAAAGTAAAATCACCTAGAGTTTTTGGGCTGCTTAAAAAACCCAGAAAGAAGTGCCAAATGGGAAAATAATCAAATTCAGTGGAAAAACTCACTTGAAGGTATCATGGTCAGCTGGGTTTCCACCCCTTTGTTGCACTTCAAATCCTGTGTATTCCACAAAGACTTGCTCCTTTCTAAAGGCTATGGTTCACATTCAACAGAATAGCAGCAACCACCATGAGCCTGAGGGCTGGCTAGTCTTTAGTATTCTGCCTTATTCAAAGAAAGGATCATTTCCCTCATTCCTAAAGATCTCCCAGGTCCATCACAAAAAAAAAGGAGCAGCAGCCAGGCACAATGGCTCACACCTGTAATCCCAGCACTTTGAGAGGCCAAGGGGGGAGGATCACCTGAGGTCGAGAGTTCAAGACCAGCCTGGCCAACATGATGAAACTAAAAATACAAAAATCAGCCGGGTGTGGTGGTGTGTGCCTGTAATCCCAGCTACTTTGGAGCTGGGTAACTGGCAGAGGTTGAACAATTTGCAGGTCTCAGAAGACAGGAAAATGTGGGAAAGTTTGAAATTCCAAGAGACTTGTTGAATGGCTTTGACCAAAATGCTGATAATGATATGGACAATGAAATCCATGCTGAGGCAGTCTCTGATGGAGATGAGGAACTTGCTGGGAACTGGAGCAAAGGTGACTCTTGTCACCTTTGATAAGATGGTGGTTGAGGAGAGGTCTTGGCAAGCAGTGATGTGTGAATGTAGTGAGGGGCCTGAAAATGGAACTCAGAGAGGACACTGGGTTTTAGAGGCTGAAACTACAGAAAGTCCGCTGCGTTCAAGGCCTGCTTCCACCAAAATCTAGCAGTGTGGCCTCAAACCATTTCATTTCTCTTGGCCTCAGTTTCTACATCTGCAAAATGGGATTTATAATCCCATCCCAGCCCACAGAATTCAGAGTTATATGAGAAGGCTAGAAGAGCTCACCTACCAAGGGACTCTTTTAATGGCAAGGTGGGGAAACTGAGGCACCGAGAGGGCTAGGGCTCTGCTAGCTGTCACCCAGAGTCTGATGGACCTGCGATGAGAAACCAGAACTCCTGCCCCTAGTTCCCCCGGCTTTCCTCAGCCTGGGGAGTGAGTGCGGTGAGATAGAAAGGGCAAGCCCTCCTGCTGTTTCTCTCTGGACAGGGGCGGGATGCTGGGTGAAGGGTGAAAGGAAGAGGCTGGAGAAGGGAGAAAAGCTCCAGCTCACACTAAGTCTGAAATTTTTTAAAATGCGGACTCCGTGGCCCCTCCCTTACCCACCCCAATCCTCTCTGAAGTCCTGGTTGTGAGGGGCCAAGTCCCAAAGTCTGCTGCTCCGCCTCTCTGTGTGCAGAGCCATGGGGCCTTCACAGGCTGCAGTGGGTCCCGAGCCCCCAGGGCTGTGCCTGCTGGTCCTGACCAAGATCGCGGCTGCCGAGGTCAGTCCAGCGCCAAGGGCACAGGGCCAGGGCAGGCGGGGCAGGGCTACCCGAAGCGCATAGAGGCTGCTGGTGTCAACGTGATGTCTTCTGGGGCGCCTGGCATCCCTAGGAGTGGAAGCCGCTGATGAAGTCAAAGCTGCCTCCTCCTTCAGGAAGACTTTGCTCCCATAGCTGGCGAACAGGAAGCGGAGCAGCGCCAGGAGGATCTGCGGGCGCTGCTGAGGGCTTCTTTGCAGGGACAGTGCAGCAGGCAGCCAGGGACAAGACTGCACGGCAGCCCCCCATGGCCAGGGGAAGCTCAGAACCGGAGTCGCCCGCTGCCCGGCGATTCTCCATCCCTGGATCGGTACAGGGGCATTTGGACGCTGTGGGGAAGTCGCGGTCTGGGGATATTGGGTCCAGCCTTCGGGTAGAAGCAGGTGATAAACGCACTCAGGCCAGCCCGGAGCGTCAGCCACACTGCGGTGCCCACGATGCCCAGGGTGAGCGCCACGAGGCGCAGGAAATTGGCTAGGGTGGGAGCTCACTGGTAGGCGGCCCTGGAAGTCAAAGATCTGCTGCTCCAGCGCTGCCACCAGTTGCAGGCAGCAGAAGGCGAGGAGCGTGTGGCACCCGCGTACTCGCCCATCGCTCCGCGGACCTCTTTATCCAACCTTCAATAATTATTCTTTTTATTATATTCAATGATTATTCTACTTTTCATAGAGAGCAGCTGTCAGTCCAATAACACACTTAACAAATGATATACCTAGTCCTCAAGGTTAACAAACACATGAAGACCAGCCCAACCCTGAAAATCAGTTTGCAAACCTTCGCTATATCTGATGCCATTCCTAAAAATTTTTAGGGACAAGTTTTGTTTGTGGTAAACAACATAAGGTGGGGTGTGTGCTGAGCCCAAAGCTGACCAATTGCTCACAATTACTCATAACTACCCATTGACTTGATTTTATCAAACTTCAGACAGTCTTGTCTCCTCTCCTCAGGCCCCTGGACCTTGGCTCACCACCTAAGACTGAACAAGCACTAAAGGACCGACCAGCCCGCTAACAGCTCACTCCAAAAATGAGCGGGACTCCCAGAGAAACTATTTTTATTGGAGCATCCTGGTTTTGCCACCTGCTCACCCCACTGCCTGTCCTTCTCTCCAAGGAGGCTTCTGCCAGCCCTGCTTGTCCTTCCCTAGAAAAGGAAAGCCTTTTCCTGTCTGATCCTGAGACACCTGTAGATTGAGTTTGGAATATTCTCCCTATTGCAATAGTATTGTTGAATAAGTTTTATTTTTCCCTACCTCTGGTTGATTTTTAATTAATACCAGTAAGCTTGGATGAAAGCCTGCACACCTTAGGTGTGTGTGTGTGTGTGTGTATGTATGTACTTTAGCATTATCATGAAAGTAATAACAGTAAAATCAAACAAACACAGATGGATAAGCAATATGTTGGACTAGTATGAAAATGGCATTGCCAGCAGTGATATGATTTTTTTTCAAAATGGTACACTTTTTGAAGTATAATCTTATTTTAACCTAAAATCTTACTATCAGAAAATGCAGTGTACATTAAAATGTTCTGAACTGCTTTTATTCATATATTAAATGGTTGTACTCAAATATCTACAAATTTGTTTTTCACTTATGTAATTGTCTTATAGAATGTTCAAAAGTCTTGCAGAATGTGAGACAATTTTCTATTGAATACGATTGCTTTATCATTGCAAGACATCAAACATCCCTGTTTCCTGCCAAATAAATGTACAATAGCAATAAATGTAAAGATGTGTTTTGTAAAAAAGATATATTTTTGAGTTACAAAACAAGGATTTTAAAACTTGAATTGTTACAGTGAATATGTCTTAATACAGGCCAGAGTCATTTAGGTAAAAAATTACCTCATATCTATTCTTTGCAGTATCACTTAAAGGTGTTTATTTAGCGGCAAAGATTTTTTTTTTGTGCCTAGAGGCAGATATTTTGCCCCATGGCTATTTACGGTATGAAACTGTATTTAAATGAGTGTACATATATAAAAGCTGCCATTCTGGCTGTAAACTATTGCAGGTTATCAAGATTAACAAATAAACAAATAAAAATATTTCAGTTTTTCTATGAAATGTCTTTACTCGAGTCCAAATGTAGAGATATAAAATGCTTGAAATTCATAAAACCAAGTGTTTCACATATTTCAGTTGTGATGGCCTTTGTCCTACTTTTGTTAGTGAAGCAGGCAGACTGCATTTTTTCCCTCTCATACATCTTCAAATGGTAGACAGAAAAATTTGATAAAACTTCTAGGGCATTATCTGATGAAACACATTAAACACTAAAGGAGAAATACAACTTCATTGTTTATAAAAGACGTATAAGAAGGAAACCTGCATACATATATCTATCAGTTTTGTATTTTCAAGAAATATTTGCCTTAAAATGAACTTCATTAGAATATGTGTTCTCCCACAGAGCCAAGGAAAGTAAGTTAGACACAGGATCTGGAAGTCTACCTGTGTGATGTAATTGCATTGAAAACATTCCACAAATAATGCAGAAATGTATCATTGTGACCCAAAATATTCTCTAAATTTTCTCAAAGCAATGTGGCCACATCTATTATCTTTTACTATGACTAGTCATCATTCCATGCATTTGAACATTACCTCACCCATTTGCAGCCTCCTATCTCTGCAATTAATTATGGCTAACATTCTCAGCAGTCCAAACATCTTGCAAGTGACAGCTTGAAAAGGCCTACCAGAATGATGTTCACTCTGCCACCTGACTAGCTTGTCTTCCATCTAGACATTGCAGTATGTAGAAGAGTGCTTTTAGTATTATAAATTTGATCCAACACGTGTTCAATTAGATGAAATCTTAAATATTGCACTACATGTGAATTGGGAAAATGTTAATTTGCTTCTGTAGTTTTAAGTGTATTCTCAGAGGCAGATGAAGACATATTACATCACTGAGTTCAAGAAATAAAGTAAATAGAAGAAAAAAGGTGTTATTTTAGTTTGGTTATGTTTATATTTGAAGTTTTCTTTTCCAGATTTAGGAGAACCTACTAAATACACTGAAAAAAATGTGGTAGCCCTAGGTTAAATATCATACCTTATTTTTTGTTTATTAATTCCAGGGTAGAGTAGAAAAATATGCTCTCATATAATATAAAAATGATATGGGGAAAAGAAGTAAAAAATTAACTTAGAGACACCATTAATTAATTTCTTTTATAAATGAAACACTAGATAGTTTCTATTTGTTTTGACAAATAGATAATATATTTAGAATCAATGCTTTATTTCTTGGAAAGTGGAGTGAAAAATTTAAATGTAGTATTCAGATTGTATTATAACTGTGCACTACAGATCACATACATTTGTCTTTTCTTTGTATTAGACATTATTTAATGGTAAGCATCCTTTCAAGGGCTATTTTATATAAGTAGTAAGGTATCTGGAATTTCTGAAATAATAAAAGTGACCTAAATCACTGTGTTTGGTAAATTCACAATACCCAAATAGCAGGAGGGGAGTGCTAGAGGTAGGGAGGAGAATGCTCATGTTCTCATTATTCCCAAACAGATTCTTAAAGTCTTCTCACTGGACACATGGATGCACCTCTGTAATACCCAATGTCTTAGCCACAACTGTCTGCACTTTTTAATGAGATACATTTCAACATTATTCCTTGTCACCTCAATATCAGATACTTTCTCATGTAATCTTTTACTTCTGAGGAGTTGAATTCTTGATCCATAAACTGAATCCATAGCTATGCATCTGTGGATGTTTTTAAATTATGTGAAAATTTTGTATATGCATTTTTCAGGGGAAAGTATCAGATCACCCACCTGGTGATTGTAACAAAAACAATCATTCCTGTTGATATTTAAGTCTTAATTAATTCAGAAAAATTTGCACATACCCTAAGGTCAGATAGTATTTTGTACCCTACATATAAAAACTCCTTTTTTTTTTTTTGAGATGGAGTCTCACTCTGTTGCCCAGGTTGGAGTGCACTGGCATGATCTCTGCTCACTGCAAACTCTGCCTCCCATAACATTAATGATCACTGATCACAGATCACCGTAACGAATATAATAATAAGGAAATATTTTAAAAATTGTGAAGATTACCAAAGTGTGAAACCAAGACACAAAGTGAGCACAGGCTGTTTGTTAAATGGCACCAATAGACTTGCTTCACCAGGGTTGTCAAAAACATCTCATTTGTAAATAAAGAAAAAATGTTCCTATCTGTGAAGCACAATAAAGAGAAGTGCAATAAAATATGTTTGTATTAATTTGGTTAACTTTATTCCAACTTAATGTAAATTAGTTTTAAAACAGTTTATAAAATTCTTACATGAACCTGGCAAATTTAGAGCAATAATAACATTATTTAAATTAGAAAAGTCTTTTTTAAAAAGGATAAATAACAAATGTCTCATTGGAATTATTAAAGTTGTTTCAAGTTCAGCTCTGAGGTTCTTAGAAACTAAAGTAAAAAAGTATGACCAGTTTCTGAAGTCAAGATAAAATCATACAATCTTTAACTTAGAAAATTATCTTCTGTGTTGTGTCCTAAGCATAAACAAATGTAAGGACTTGCCCTGACACTCTGTAAGTAGTTCCACTCCAATACGCCCTGCAGAAATATTTCCTGGCAAGAACAGCAAGTCAGAAGCCTTTTCAGCATGGCAAGGAGGGAGAGAGACTATGCTATTAAAAAAAAAAAAAAAGATGAGGAGGAACAATAGCACCTTAGACAAGTGAGAAGTTTCAAAAGAGACATATAAGGAGAGCAGTTGCAATTATAAGGAGCAAAATATGGAATGATGAAAAAAGATACTTTAAAGAAAGTTTTCCTCAGTACTTTGCAATGACTTGCCACCTTCTGAAGAAAGCTGGCTCCTTCTGGAACCTTAGGGTATTTGGACCCATGCTTTGGAATGGGGTGACCATCTACATCAAGCTAACTTAAATTCAAATTTGTGTGCATAGGATAAGAATAATTGGGTTAAATAAAATTCACTTTTAATCTAAAATGTCATTCATTAGTTTGACCAACTTTCCTTACCACTAGCCACTTGGTCCTTGTCTTGTTTGACCAGGGTTGTCAAACAAGGTTTGTTGTTTCCTTCTTTGAAGGAAAGAGTCAGTGTTTCTTCCATTCCAATGCATCCACTTGAGGAATTTTTAATAAAATGGGCAATGAATGGGCAGCAGAAGAAGTTACAGGCCTGCTGATCAAATGCTAAGTAATAAACCCTGGAAATTCTAAACTCGTTTGCATGAAGACCTTGCTTATTTTGTAACTATTATGTATTATCAAATGTATACTTAATTCTTTGAATGTGTTAGTATGTGTTCAAAGTACACCTTAATTTTATATATATATATTTAAATTACATAAAATAAATAAGCCACTAAAAATTTTTAAACATTTTCTTATATTTCCTTTCAGTATTTTTATGTGCATGCATCTGTACTTGGTAATATTGCTGAATGCATGTTTGCATTGACAAAGCCTCTCCCCTTGCCCAAACTCTAGTTGGGATCCTCTAAGCCACCTCTCAGCCTCAGCTTTCAGTGTTCATCCTAGTCTGGCCCACATCTCTCAGGTTTAGGAAGAAACTTGCAAAGAATCCCCCACTCTCAGTACTGATCACCTTTGATATCTGATCAAATTTGTTATCTCCCACCACCCTCCAGATGATTTCTGATCAGTCTGGCCTGCCTTCAGTAAGAATCCTGTTCGATCTGTTTAACCCAAATCCCCTTTGCCCCTGATATTTCCTCTTAGTATCCCCAGTTGAGCCAATTTTCAACCATTAAAAAAATCTTGGACAAAATTAAGTTCAGATAGGTTCCAGAGTGCTTATGTTCAGTTCTTGGCTTTCTGAAGACCTGGCATATCCTCTTTAAATTGCCTCAATACAAGAAAATACAAAATGGAAAGAAGTAGACATTAGAAATTGGAAAAATGGAGAAATACAGGAATGAACATAAGTTTCTATTTCAAGTAATTAGGTAAATTGTAAGATGTTTATATTTAACTTTTTCTCATTAGCTTTAGCCCCTTGAATCTTTGAGAACATGTTATTACTATAGTTATCGAATGTTATATTTTTTATTTTAACGTAGAATGGTATTTTCACTCAAATCTCTTGAAACATATATTTATAGTCAATAGTTAAATTTTATTTAATATCAATTGTTCCTTTTTATTAGTATTTTCTTAAAAAAATAATATTGGCCCAGCGCAGTGGTTCACACCTGTAATCCCAGCACTTTGGGAGGCTAACGTGGGCAGATCACTTGAGGTCGGGAGTTGGAGACCAGCCTGAGCAACTTGGAGACAACCTTTCTCTACTAAAAATACAAAAATTAGCCGGGCGTGGTGGTGCATGCCTGTAATCCCAGCTACTCAGGAGGCTTGAGGCAAGAGAATTGCTTGAACCTGGGAGGTAGAGGTTGCAGTGAGCCGAGATCGCACCACTGCACTCTAGCCTGGGTGACAGAGCAAGACTCCATCTCAAAAAAAAAGAAAGAAAGAAGATGCCAGACATTTATTGAAGGGCTGGAATGGTATAGTGAAGTGTTCTGAGTCAGTTGGGCTCTGATTGATAAAGAACTTGGCATGTTTGAAGGACAGCAAGGAAGCCAGAATAGCTGGAGCATAGCAGCAGGGAGACAAGTGCCACAAGATGAGCTGGAGAAAGGCACTGGGAAAGGTTTGTCTTTTAAGTGCTCTGAGAAGCAATTGAAGATTTGAAATAGAATAGTGACTTGCTTGATCACATTTGTACTTTTGAAAAGTTCCTCTGGCTGCTGTGGGGAAAGGCTTGAGTAGATGCAGGGTGGGAGAAGCATAACCAGCAGTAGACTCTTGTAGCAGGTTAGGTGAGAGATGGTGGTGGCCACGAGTGGGCTGCTAGTGGTGGAAGTGACAAGAAGCAGAAGGATCGGAGACAAAACTTGAAGATAAAAAGTCTTGAATTTGCTGATGATTTGCATTGACGAGGTGTTGGGGGAGAGGACTGAAGGAGCAGAGGAGAGTGACAAGGGACTGGATGCCATTTATAAGGATGGGGAAGACTGGGATGAAACCGGTTAAGGGAGAAATTTTAAACATGGCAAAATTAAGAGGGGTTTTATGTGAGAAAATGGAAATGCTAAGAAGGAAGTTGAAAATCCTGCTAATTTGGAGATCTTTGATTAAAACTAGAAATAAGAATGTGGGAAGCATCAACTTCCAAGATGCCCTCATTGTAGATAACACCATTTAGGATCTAGGCTCAAGCCCTGGGAAACTCCAGGGCTTTGGAAGTCAAATAGAGGAAGAACACGTACAGGAGATGAAGAAAGATTAGCGAGGAAGTCAGTGAAATATCCACAGGTGGGCTGCTGCCAAATCCAGCAGAACAGTATGCCAGATGTTAGGAGCATGAGTAAAATGAGAAAAGAGAAATGGCTTTTGACAACACTTCCCTACTAATAGTAGGGAAGAAGACATAGGTACAGATTCAAGTTGATTTGAAATTATGAAAGTGAGGTAATTGACCTGCAGTGGTTGCTGCTCAGTGAAATCAGCATAGTGATTACCTGAGCTAGGTTAGAGATTTGATGGGTAAGAAAGAACACCTGAGGGTAATCCTGGAGGGGAAAAAAATAAAGTGTTTGCTGGAGAGAATGAGTTGGATTGCTGGACTTCAATGTGTGTGGGTTGAATTTGTGACTTAAAAATGAAACCAGTCTATTGCTTGTGTGGCTTTTCCAAAATACTGTTATTCCATTACCTATCTCTTACCCCAAGAGTAGTCACATTCTTATTTCTGGTTATTTTAATTCCTGGTGGTATTTTTATGTGATTAATGAGATAGTACTTGTTAATTTGATGATATTCTAGAAACCTGGTAAGTACTATGTACCTTGTCTTAAGTTTTGGTTACTTGATTGGTAAAATTATGCATGCACCATTGAATTACCTAATTCAAAATATATCCTTTTATTGTTTGACATTTGTCTTGTTTTTCTTTAAAATGTTATCTTTGTGGAGTAAACATTTTTCTTTATGCTGTTTAGCATCTTCAGATTAGTTCAGGGTATTGCTGAATGTGGTTGTTTGGAAGTAAAATGCTTTAGTTTTAGTTATATAGATTTTAATAAGATACTACTTTCTATATAATTTATCAGGTACTTTAGGCATTTTATTTGCAAATTTAGGACAATTTGCTTTAACGTTTCTTCACTTTTGTCCGTTGGATGTAATTTCCATAAAGTATTCATTTCCCTGAGTAAAAACCGAAACCAAACCGACAACTAATGGTCACTGAAGAAAGAGTGATTAAATGCTAAGATTATAATGGTATTTGCATTTTAATGTTACCAGCTCTCTACAGTGTAAAGTTTATGCATTTATCTATTGCTTATGTTTCTCATTGCATTCTTTGGCCTACTGGTTTTGGTTGTTTATAGCTATAGAATATAGAATTCCTTATGCTTATCCATTTCTCCTTTTAAGTAGAGTGATAGTTGTTAGAAGAAAAATAACGCCCCAATACTTTCTTCTAGTGTTAATTCTTAAAGTGTGATTTACTTTTATTTACTTTTTGGTGCAGTAATTGCAGTTCATGAGTCAATGTTGATGTCATATAAACCTTAATTTTTAATGTTTCATTGTAGTGATGTCTCTGTAGCAGCAAACATTTAAGTTATTTGTTATACTTAAATGTTTAAGTCACTGTTAGTGATTAGCTTATTTTGCCTTCCTTGAAGCAATTTGTCCTAAATTTCCATATGTTTGCATTTGTTTTTGCTGTTCTAAAATTCCTTAGTTGCTGGCTTTGACCTTTTATGTTGCTGAGTTTTACACATCTATTTTCTCAACTGCCATATCCTAGGAGGCTTGGAGTACCCATAATACAGTGAGCCCACCTTCCTGGTCCCCAGACATTTCAGGAGGTCGGGAAATTTTTAAACCCAGGCAGCTTCCTGGCAGTGCCATTTGGAGCATCAAAATGGTAAATAAAATTGCATTTACGTTCATATATCATTTCTGTCTGATTTGTTTTGCCCTACTGGGTGTAAAGAATTAAATCTTTCTTTTCTAGATTGAGCTTCCAGAAACACTTTTTAAATCTAAAAATTTTAATGTAAAGAAATAATATGCTTGCATTTAAAAATCAAGTATACATTTTTAATACCTCTTTTTATGGTTAATTCCTTTTGTTGTGATTACTACCGGTTTTATGAGGGAGAAGTCCTTGACATGTAGACCAAAAGGTAATTAAGGACCTTTTCATTCATGATATCATAAAACTTTGTTGCTTAGAAAAAAGCAAAAGAAAAAACTCCATTAATTTATTATGTTCTTATGGAGAAGAAATACCAAAATTGTGGCAGATTTCATTGTCTGTTTAATACCTTAAAATGACAAGGCTTTTTCCCCCATGACATTGGTTGATGGCTGTGCCAGTCCTTGAAGTGAGTTAAGTAGTGTGATGCATTTTGAAGAGAAAAAAATTAATTTGAAAAAGTATTAACTCAAAAGTTAAAATACTTCATTGACTGGAGATGAAAGTTTTTCTTCATATTCTATATTTAATATTCTGGAATATGGCTGTTTAATTCAGACTAATCAAGGATTTTAAGGAATTCTAGATTATACTTTATTTTCTTTCATGACTGGAAGAACTATTTTTTTTTAACCTCCCTACCTCCCCCTGATATCATCCAAGATATTGAGGTATAAATATACCTCATTTGACAATTTGATAATATAGACCACCAATTTTTACTTACCTTTTTTCTGGGTCAGCATTTCATGTTTGAGAAAATAAATTGAGAGATTACTGTAGTCTTGATTTTTAATCACTGACTTAATTTTTCAAAAATCTTTTATACCAATTTAATAACAAAACAAACTCGGCCGGGCGCAGTGGCTCACGCCTGTAATCCCAGCACTTTGGGAGGCTGAGGGGGCATATCACTGGAGGTCAGGAGTTCGAGGCCAACCTGGCCAAAGTGGTGAAACCCCGTCTCTACTAAAAATACAAAGAGATTTAGCCGTGCGTGGTGGCATGTGCCTGTAATCCCAGCTGCTAGGGAGGCTGAGGCAGGAGAATTGCTTGAACCCAGGAGATGGAGGTTGCAGTGAGCCAAGATCACATCATTGCACTCCAGCCTGGGCAAAGAAGCGAGCCTCCATCTCAAAAACAAACAAACAAACAAAAAACCCAAAAAACTAACCTGACCCCATCTATCTGTTGTGCAAAGAAGCTGATGCACTTCTCAAAAGGGATCTCAAGGAGAGCAGGGTAAGAGAAGACAGGAGTGGCAGTTTGAAACTGGGAGCTGGCTGTATTTATTACATCCAAAGGGAAAAAAGCCATTCCTCCCATTCCTTTTGTTCATGTGTTTCTATTTTATGCTTACAGTATCATCATAAATTTTTGACTTGGAAACCATTCTGCTAAATAGGGAATAAGTTTATTTCAAACTATGATAAGGGACATCAGTTGAAGATATGACATATTATTTAACTTATGGTGAGAGAAACACCTAAGTATTTTCCTGAGCATCTGGATAATTTTAAATATACATAATTCATCTACTTAGGTAGGTGCCAGGTTTTTTCAAGGAGTAATTAATTAGTACGAACAAGGGTGAGGGGGCAGGGAACACCATACTCTGGTACTTAATGTCTGAAATTATCAGGGAATTTAACACATTTTCCCATAGGTTTATTTCTTGTGTAAGAAGTCAGATAAATTATTTCCATTTCAAGTATTTATTATTCAGATTATTTAAAGCAAAGCTTTCACAAAGCCTTTTGTCAGCTTTCCTGTAATCCTCAAATAATTTTTCCTGGCTGGACGCTTTGGCTTACTCCTGTAATCCTGGCACTTTGGGAGGCAGAAGCAGGAGGATCACTTGAGCCCAAGAGTTCTAGGCTGCAGTGAGCTGTGATCACACCACTGCACTCCAACCTGAGTGACGGATCAAGTTCTTGTCTCAAAAATAAAAGTAATAACAATAATAATAAATTTTCCTCTAAATACAATGGTGAATGAGGTAGAAATGTTGAGTTCATAAGAGAACTGTTGAATAGTGAAGGAAACTGACTTAATTTTAATGACAGGAAGAATACTGTTACACACTAGCAAAAATGAACTTTTATGCTGATGTAGCAGTACAGAATATGCTTCCAACCCAGGGACGCTGGAGCCAGGCTTGCTAGCTAAGCGACCTTGGACAAGTTACTTAACCATTTTATTCCTCAGCACACTCATCTCAAACGAGGATAATAAAACCTACTATATGGGATTGTTGAGAGTAAAAAATACTTAGATTAGTACATAGTAAGTACTCAATAGATGTTAGCTATTACTGTAATCACCGCGAGACCAGTTAATGAGAGAGTTCTTCCTTATCCTTACTCTATATTGAATACAATTTGTTGCACTTCGAAATATCTGGATAAGGCTATAGTTGTTGTCGTCACCGAGAATGCAGGAGTGGCAAAGAGAAAAATCATGCAAAGGCTTGCTGATAGCGTTCACAGTGACAGCCCGAAAGTATGATTCTAAGGTTGTAAGCATTTTATATTTAGAATTTTAAGTTGTGGAATATACTTTTAAAGATAAAAATAATACCAGGTTTCTTAATACTTATCTAAAGAAGTGTTTGTATAACATTTAATAAAATGTTTTATCTCAGTGGCATTTGGATTTAAAAATTATTTTGGGCTGTCACAGAATGTTGACTTTTCCTAATCTGTTACATAGGGCCATGGGTCTGGATTTCCAGGAAAGCGGAGACCTCGAGGTGCAGGACTGTCGGGGCGAGGTGGCCGAGGCAGGTCAAAGCTGAAAAGTGGAATCGGAGCTGTTGTATTGCCTGGGGTGAGGCTTGCTTCATGTATATTTTCTCTAATCTAAATGTCAGTTAATGATGAAAATCTCATAGCAAGTTATTTTGAACTTAAAAGTTATATAAATAGGTCAAAATGTTTATTTTACTGTCCTACTTTGCTTTTTTTTTTTTTTTTGAGCCTCTGGTTACGTTTTCTTGTATATTTACTTTCTTATCCTTTCTCTTTTCTTACCTTCCTCTTTGACTCCTTATCTTTCTATGCCAACCCTCTCTAAAAAGTCAGTATGTAATATAGGTGCTCTTTTATTTAAAAAATTTTAAGATTGATATTTGCTTACTATCATGTTATGAGGCTTTATTTATATGTGTATTACAAATATATTTGTTAACTACTAGCAAATATTTTATGTAATAACTTCGCTATTTTATTAAAATCCTGTTTTTAAAATTCTGAAATGTCATTTTAAGTATAGGAGACAGGTGAAATTGTTCAAGTTTACTACTAAACCAGGAATAAGGAAGCTTAGATTCTTGTCCTTTTTTCAAAAAGAAAAATTTTAAAACCAGGCTTATTGAGGTATAGTTGATATAAGCTATATTTGACATGTACAATTCCATAAGCTTTGATATATACATATACACCCTTGAAAACGATACCACAATCATGATAGTGAATATATTCATCTCCCAACGTTTCTTCATGTCCCTCTGTAATTTTCTGCATTCCCCCTGCCATCCGTCCTTGTCCCCAAGATTAGTTTGCATTTTCTAGAGTTGTATATAAGTGGAATCATACAGAACTGTGTGCTTTTTGGACTGATTTATTTCAGCACAATTATTTGGAGATTAATCTATGCTGTTGTACTTGTTAACAGTGTACTTCCTTTTCTTGCTGAGTATTAATAAAACTGTGGATGCACCACGGTTGTAGACCTGTGCACTTTTTTTTCTTCTTTTTTTTTTTTTTTTTCTGAGACAGGTTCTCATTCTAATTCCTGGCTGGAGTGCAGTGGTGCGATCATAGCTAACTCCAGCTTTGACCTCCCACCTCTGTCTCCCAAGTAGCTGGGACCATAGCTGTGTGCCAACACACCCAACTACTTTTTTAAAATTTTTAATAGAGACAGCATCTCACTATGTTGTCCAGGCTGGTCTCGAACTTCTGAGCTCAAGCAATTTTCCCACCTTGGCTTCCCAAAATGCTGGGATTACAGGCGTGAGTCACCATGCCCCAGCCTGTAGTCTTACATTCTTGTAATGTCTTCATCTGGTTTTGGTATCAGCATAACTCCAGCTTCATAGAATGAATCAGAAAGTATATTCTCATCTTCAGTTTTCTGGAAAAGTTGTGTAGTAGTGGAAATGTATCTTCTTATATTATACATGAATTTATTAGTGAAACCATCTTGGCCTGAAATTTTCTTTGTGGGGGGCTTTTGTTGTGTTTTCTTTTTTTTTTTTTTTTCTTTCTTTTGAGATGGAGTTTTGCTCTTGTTGCCTAGGCTGGAGTGCAATGGCACAATCTCAGCTCATGCAACCACTGCCTCCCAGGTTCAAGTGATTCCCCTGCCTCAGCCCCCTGGGTAGCTGGGATTACATGTGCCTGCCACCATGCCTGGCTAATTTTTTTTTTTTTTGTATTTTTAGTAGAGACAGTTTTTCACCATGTTGGCCAGGCTGGTCTCGAACTCCTGACCTCATGTGATCCACCTGCCTTGGCCTCCCAAAGTGTTGGGATTACAGGCGTGAGCCACCATGCCCAGGCTGGAGTGCAGTGGCGTGATCTCTGCTCACTACAGCCTCCACCTCCCAGGTTCAAGCAATTCTCCTGCCTCAGCCTTCTGAGTAGCTGGGATTACTGGCATGTACCAACATGCCTAGCTAATTTTTGTGTTTTGGGTAGAGATGGAGTTTCGCCATGTTGGCTAGGCTGGTCTCGAACTCCTGACCTCAGGTGATCCATCTCCCAAAGTGCTAGGATTATGGGATGAGCCACTGGTGCCCAGCCTGTGGGACAGTTTTTAACAACAAATTTTATTTCTTTAATAGGTACCTATTTAGGTTATCTGTCTCTCCTTGCATAAATTTGCACCTTTCAAGAAATTTGTTCATTTTGTCTATCTTGACAAATTAAAGGAATGGAGTTGATCATAATGTTTCTTATTATTTTAATACCTGTAGAATCTGTAGTGATTTCACCTTCCTCATTCTTGATACTAATAATTTGTATCTTGTCTTATTTTTTTCCTGATCAGTCTGGCTAGAGATTTATCAATCTTATTGATCTTCTTGAGTCAGCCTTTGTTTTCATGGACTTTTCTCTATTTTCTTTCCCCTTTCTGTTTTATTGATTTATATTCTCATCTTTATTTTTTCCTATCTTCTCACTTTGAGTTTAGTTTGATCTTCTTTTTTTGTTTACTCTTACGTGTCCCTGCTTGGAAGGGACACTTGTGAAGTTTAGGTCAGAGCTTTCTATTCTCCTTGGCTTATATCTGTGGTCTAGGAAAATGAAATTTCTATCACCTTCTGGATAAATCACACTATTATCTATGCAGGCAACAATAGCACATATTTTCTCAAAGATTACCTTTGCCCTCAAGTTAGGTTTTATTTTTCTAGCAGTCTAAAGGTCATGAAATAAATTATAAAATAAAAACAGTGGGTCTTCAAGCTAGATGATACTGTTTTTTTTCTTGCATGGACAATTATTTTAAAATATTTTGGTTTTTCTGCACTTATTATTTAAATATGACTCCCCACCCCCACTTGAATCTAGGGACATTGTAGTTTTCTACTGCAGACTTTGTTTCTGGTTTATACTGGGAATATATTGTTTATCATTTTCAGTGAAAGCATCCACTGGTTAAATTTCCTTTTAAAAATAATAATGGATCTTTACAATTTCTTTGAGCTGCTCAGTGTGTATAATGTGTTGAATTTTCTGTTAGTGGTTGGGAGGTAGAAATAGATACTTTATCTCTATTTTAGCCATTTCCATAATTATATATCTCAATAGCCTTGTCAATGCATCATTAGTCCTATGACTGAATTAATGATTACTTTTAGTAGTCACTTAGTTTCTTACTGGTGATGATGATTCTACTTTTGTGAATCATCTTGGATGATTCTCTAAAATCTTAGAAAGCTAATTTTGTTAATGCTATGCATATAACACATCAATACATTTTCTCTATTAAAAAAATTAAAGCGTTATAGGTAGATCAGAATTTACCATTACTAACTCCTCAGTCCTCCTTATTTCCCTGTTACCAGTTTGGTATATTTATATATTAGGTTGATCCATATGAAATTGCCAATATTATTTCTGAACTGATGAAAAGCAGCAATTTCTTATGATTCAACCTATTATATGTGCCCATAGACTACATATAATGACTTTGCATGTTTTTATATTATAGTGCTATACCTCAAATACTGTTCTGCAATTTATTTTTTCATCAATAACGTCTTTTGATAATTTCTTTCATGGCAGTCTATACAAGTTTCTACCTCCCTACTTTTAAAATGTTGCATAATTTTCTAATGTTTGGATTTGTCATGGCTTTACTTACTCCCTAATGATGAATATTGGCATTATTAACACTTGTAGTCATTAGGGTTCATATGACTATAAATTGCTCTTATAAAGCATTAGTACTATCCATTAAAACTGCTTTTAGGCTGGGCACGGTGGCTCATGCCTGTAATCCCAGCACTTCGGGAGGCCGAGGTGGGTGGATCGTGAGGTCTGGAGATCGAGACCATCCTGGCTAACATGGTGAAACCCCATCTCTACTAAAAATACAAAAAATTAGCTGGGCATGGTGGCAGGCGCCTGTAGTCCCAGCTACTCGGGAGGCTGAGGCAGGAGAATGCCGTGAAGACAGAGCTTGCAGTGAGCTGAGATTGTGCCACTGCACTCCAGCCTGGGTGACATAGCAAGACTCCATCTCAAAAACAAACAAACAAAAAAACAAACCAAAAAAAACTGCTTTTAAATGTATTTGTATTGAAAAATACTGAGATATAGTCCTTCTATTTAGTTAACCAACCAACCTTCCTTCCTTCCTCTTTTTTTTTTTTTTTTTTTTTTTTGAGACAGGGTCTCCCTCTGTCACCCAGGCTGGAGTGCAGTGGTGTAATCTTGGCTCACTGTAACCTCTGCCTCCTGGGTTCAAGTGATTCTCCTGCCTCAGCCTCCTGAGTAGCTGAGACTACAGGCGTGTGCCACCACGCTCGGCTGTTTTTTGTATTTTTGGTAGAGACAGGATTTCACCATGTTGCCCAGGCTGGTCTCGAACTCCTGAGCTCAAGCGATCCACACACTTTAGCCTCTCAAAGTGCTAAGATTATAGGCATGAGCCACCACACCCAGCTGGTTAATCTTTCAGTTGTTCCTCAAGAAAAGTAATTCAGTCGTTTTATGTTTTGACCTTGAACATAACCTGTTGTGTTTCAACTCTGTCTTTCCAGGCTTCGGTTGTAAGCTTTTTAAAGAAAGAGGATTGTATTTTATGATTTTGGCAGTGCCCTCCTTGTCTTCTTCTACAACTTCTAGTTCAGAGCTTTATTTTGTTTCATATCACTCTAGAAATTATTAACAAACCAGTGGCTACTTAGTTGATTTAGTCAAATAGAACTAAGTCCAGACTGAACAATATTGGTTGATAATCATTTGGCTGATACTGAAATTTGGATGTTATTCAAAATAATATTCTAAAGCGGTGCTAATAGAAATATAATGAGAACCACATATGCAATTTAAAACTTCCTAGTAGCCACATTAAAAAGTTACAGTGAGTTGGGTGCAGTGGATCATTTGAGGTCAGGAGTTAAGAGACCAGCCTGACCAATATGGTGAAACCCTGTCTCTACTAAAAATACAGAAATTAGCTGGGCATGGTGGTGGACAACTGTAATCCCAGCTACTTGGGAGGCTGAGTCAGGGAGAACAGCTTGAACCAGGAGGCAGAGGTTGCAACGAGCCGAGATCGCGCCATTACACTCCAGCCTGGTCAACAAGAGTGAAACTCCTCTCGAAACAAAATAAAGGTTATAGTGAACAGGCGAAATTAATTTTAATGCCTTCCATTTTGACCGATATATCTAAAATATTACCATTTCAACATGTAATATGTAATTATGTGCTGTATTTTATGTTTGCAGGACATCTCAGTTCAGACTAACTACATTGCAGATCCCAAGTGTGTGTCATTAAAATAGTGATAGATTTGTGTGTGTACATACCTATAATATTATCATTTATAGTTTCTTGATTAGAATTCTGCATAATCAAGTCTTACTAAGACAGCTTTATTATATTTTCTCATTACTTCTTGGTCTAAAGGAATTCTACCTCTAAAGAGAGAATGAGTTGAATAATAAAATGTCATGACTCCATTTTGCTGTAGTATCTTAGCATTAATATTTGGAATTGTTATTCTAGACCTTAGCAAAAATATATGTTTTGATTATGAATTTTCTGAAGCTTTCCAGTTAAGTGTAAAACAAGTGAAAAATATAACTTCGTATTTTGTGTATTTTGCTTTTTATAGGTGTCTACTGCAGATATTTCATCAAATAAGGATGATGAAGAAAACTCTGTGCTCGATATGGTTGTGTTGTTTTCTAGCAGTGACAAGTTCACTTTGAATCAGGTTTGAACTTGACAATTTACTGTCTTCCTCATTGAATTCCTCCTTGCACATTTCTGCTTTATCTCATATACACAGAAGTGATCCAATATTTAGCTATAGAGCTATATTAGTTAAGAAGGTATTTTTAAAGTAAAATTTGTAGGTTTTTAGCTTAGTCTCCATTTAAAATATGTTCTGTTTTCTTAACTTCAGGATATATGTGTAGTTTGTGGCAGTTTTGGCCAAGGAGCAGAAGGAAGATTACTTGCCTGTTCTCAGTGTGGTCAGTGTTACCATCCATACTGTGTCAGTATTAAGGTAAACATCCTTAAACTGAGTTAACAAATATGTATTGAATTTTTATTTGGTTTTAGTAGTAACATGAGCTCCCAGTTCTCACAATTAAGTATTATGATTATTAAACATATGTGACCGTATTTAAGTACTTTAAATACTGCTTTTAAGGGTTTCCTATCTCAAGAAATTTGCTCCTCTATAAATCTTATATTGTACTAATATCCTGCTTTTGTCTTGAAAAAGTAAAACATAAAAATATATGCATTTAATTTAAAAGACAATTTATACTATTCACAAAGATTTTAGGTTTAGCTGATTCATTTTGTCTGTTGATTTATAAAGCTGAGAACTGGAGTATTTAGTAAAAAATTATTATCCCATTCTGTTCTTTCCCACATTCTCTCTCCTCTGTGCTCACTCATATACAAAATGACATTTTCTCCTTATAGCCAAAAGAAAGAAAACAAGTGTCATATTTAATGCAATCGGTAATAATCGAGAGTCAGCACTGCTCACTTTCAAGCATTTCAGGATAGAGGCTTTCTGGGGAACCTTTTAAGCGGTATCGTGTGCTTGGTTTTAAATATGGACAGGTCTCAATACTTCACTAGTTGTATCTAAGGTTCTTGGTTTTTTCTTTTTAAGAACTCAGTCTTAATAAAACTTACATATTTGAATAAAGTGTCATGGCCACTGGAAGCAAGCATGGAGGTATAGCTGTACAGCAGAGGTCTTAAACTGTATACTCCACAAGGAAATCTTTTCTAGTATTGCCATACCATGTAATATAAATACTAACCTCAGTTTCAATAATAGGTTGTGAACCATGAGTGATTTTTATACCATTCTCCCCTGCCCTTCAGACATCACTGTGTTATATCATTGTCAGTAAAATGTCAGTATAGTAAGCAAATCAACATTATCTCCTTCAGAATTCTTTGTTGATAACTACACTAGTATTTATTTTATAGGGTAATACAGGTTTTTGTGAATTTAGGAATCAAAATGAAAGATTGTAATTAATACTATCCAAAATAGAAGACTAGTATGGTTAATTTCTGTAGTTTTTTAAAATTAGTTGCTTGCTCATGGTATGTGACTGAAAAACACAGAGTATATAAAGCCAATTAAAAATGGAGTTATATATGCATAAAACATGTTTCTTTTCTTCTTTGTACTTTATATTCTGTATAAAAGTAGCTGCTATCATTAGATTTTGTTTTTTAGAATGCTTAATGTTTTGGACCTAAGGAAATTGAATAAGATCCCTTTCAAGATAGTAATGTATTTCTTTTAACCCATCCAACAATTACCGAATTCCCATTTTACAGATGAGTACGACTTACATAAGTTAAGATTGGACAATTAGTGCACTATCAGACACCTAGTTATTCCTGTTTTTAAAAATTATGTGTGGTTCCTTTTACATGACACTGTTTTGGACAGTATAGAATACTGCAGTCTCATTGAGAAATACAGCAGTATCTAGAAATATACTAGGGATATGTGAATTGGCTCAGCTTGCATTTTTATTGCAGGAGGCAATTGTTTGTGGATAAGTTTGATACCTTTGAAGCTTCTTTTTAAGCTTGCTGGGGCAAGTCTAGAAAGCCTTCACTCTAAGGTGGATATTTTCAAACTTTATGGTTTTAGAACCTTAACACTCTTTAAAATTACTGGGGACGCCATAGTTTTTGTTCATGAGGATTTTAACTATCGACTATTCAGCATTTTAGAAATTAAAACTAGGAACATTTTGTAACACAAGACTACAGAAGCACAACCTGTACAATGTCAATGTAATATTATGATACAACATGTAGCTTCTATAAACACCACTGTATAATTGTGAATAAATTAAAGTGAAAAAAGGCAAATTAAATCTTAGTATTATTTAAACTTGTTTTAACTTTACAGACCCACTGGGGTTCCCTAGTCCACATTTTGGTAGCTGCAGTCCTAGCATTAGTTTAACCCTATACTTAAGACTTGGCCTTTCTGGGATCACTACTGAATTCTACCCCCTGTTCACCAGTGTCTTTGTACTCTGACTGGTTGTGCTTCACTTGTCTTTGAGCCTTTTGCAAGCTCTGGTAATTGTGCAGCTTACACATTCCCAGTAGATGTACTTTCCCCTGGTTGTGGGTCTTTGGGCTTCTAGAAGTACGGCTTGGTGTTCCACCAAAGACTTCAGGGGATCCTTTGTAGATTTCTGGAGCTCTTAGTCCTTATTGCTTCTTCATTTTGAGTACTGTGTCCTGCAAATTCCACTGCCTCGCCTCCCCTAACCTCAGCGAGGCCATTGATTGTACTCTGCTGCGGTTCTCCCTCCCTGGGCAGGATTCTGGAAAATGTTTCTAGGCAGAATATCATAGGACTCCCTGAGTGTTTCCTTCCTCTCAGAGACCACTGTCTCCTTTACTATGTGTTGTCCAATATCTGAAAACAGTTGTTTCATACACTTTGTCCAATTTTCTACTATCTTATGGGAAAACAGCCTGGTCCCATATACTCCATTATCGTTGAAGCATGTATCCGTATTAGATTATAAAACATATCTGTAACAACTTTGGACATGGTACCATGGATGGAATCCTGGATGACATCTTATTTGAAAAAACTTTTAAAACTAAGGCTAAACTGGTTCAACGGAAGAAAAAAATGATAGTACAACCCCAGTACCTAAGTTAAAAGGAAATTTCAAAGACGGAGAAATTGTTGAAGTGTTGAAGTACTAGAAGTCAAGAAACACAAACACTAATGTTTCCATTAGATTTGAGAATAAGAAGGTCTTGACAAGCCTGGCTTAAGCAGTTATGAGTGGATGTGGGTGTAGAGACCAGACTGTAGTGTTTTGAAGAGTGAATATAAGCGGAGAAACTTGAGAGTTTGGTTGTAAAAGGGACCACAGGTATCTGTGAAGAAAACTTAGTAGGAATGAAGATAAATATTTTAAAAGTTCTGCCACTAAACACCTCAGATCTGTCTGCCACTTTGTCTTCAGGTCATTGTTTAAGCCAGGATCAGGCAGACTGGCCCATAGACTAAATCTGGCCCATTTCCTGTGTTTGCAAATAAACTTTTATTGAAATATGGCCAAGTTCTTTTGTTTACATATATTTGTAGCGGTTTTTGCATTACACTGGCAGAGTTTTTATAAAGTTGCAACAGATCATATGGCCCTCAAAACTTTCTGTTTACTCTCTGGCCCTTTATTGGAAATGTTTGCTGGCTACTGCTCTAAGCCACCCTGATCTTACCCCAGGCCATTTCCTTCATTTGGGCAAATAATATACTAACTTGGTAATCTAAGACAAATTCTTAAAAATCAATAAGCTAATCAAAATAATAAATATACATGTTTAAAAATCAAATGACATTAAAAGCCTCGTAATGGGCCAGGTGTGGTGCCTCACACCTGTCATCCCAGCACTTTGGGAGGCCGAGGCGGGTGGATCACTTGAGGGCAGGAGTTCAAGCCAGCCTGGCCAACACAGTAAAACCCCATCTCTACTAAAAATACAAAAATTAGCCGAGTGTGGTGGCTCATTCCTCTAGTCCTAGCTACTCAGGAGGCTGAGCCAGGAGAATTATTTGAACATGGGAGCCGGAGGTTGCAGTGAGCTGAGATCACACCACTGCACTCCAGCCCAGGCAACAGAGCAAGACTCCATCTCAAAAAAAAAAAAAAAGGCCTTGTAATGAACAACCAACTCTTGTCTTACTCTACGTCCACATCTGAGGGAATCACTTTTAATCTTTTCAGGTCTTTTTTCTTGTGGTTAATGCTATAGCTCTAAATAATCAACTGGTTTACTGCTTTATCAATGCTAGATTTTGTTGACTTTCTGCTATGAATAAATAAATTCTGATTTAGGTCTTAAAATACACCTCCTTCCTTCTCCCAATATAGTTGTATTACTATGTTTAGTTCAATTAATAAGGTGTTGGTTATGACTCAGTAAATGTTCACTGCAGATCTAAACAGTATACTATGAGTTTCTTTTGTCTTTCATGGAGTTTTTAATAACAAGAAAGTAATAGTGACTCTCCATTCGTTCTTTGTTTTTGCCTACTATAGAACTATCATATAAGATTATTTTTTAAAGTACTGTTTTTTTCTGGGAGAAGTCCTACCCTCTTTCTAGACATTCCCTTCTCCTGCTCTGATATGTGCCAGTGGCTTCTGGGTGTGTTGTTCTCATCCTTAAACTTCCCTGGCCTGATGTCCTTTGTCAGATCTGTTGATTTATAGATCCCAAGTCTTCCTTTTCTTTGTAATACATCCTCATTCTGTTCCGCATATCTCTAAGTAACTTTATTAGAAGGAGAATGAAGGAGCTGAATTTTGAGTCTTCCTGTGTCTACAACGTATTCTGTCTTCACACATAGTTGCTTGTGTAGCTAGGTTGAGAATTGTACTTTGAAAAGTATTTTCCTGTAGAATTGGAAGATTATACTCTTCTAGCATCTGGAGTTGGGAAGTTTTGTGCCATTCTGATGGGTGTTCCTTTGAATTTAACTCTTTTATTTTCTTCTCTGGTAGCTTTTAGGCTTTCTTGTACCTCATGATCTGAATTTTTATTCTGTACCCTCATTACTTGCTGTTTCATTATAATGTGGGCACTTGATTGGTTCTGTCTGAGGATCCTAGTCTTTTGAGATCTTTAAGAAGTTCCGCAATCTTAATATTACATGGTGTGGCTTCCTTCAGGAGTTTGTTAGGGATTTGGAAATTCCCAAATATTCTGCTAACTTATACCCTTGAGAGAGGGGAGAATAAACAGAGGAGTGAATGTGAACTTCAGAATTCCTAGCTTCATAGTCTAAATAGAAATCTTCTAAGATCATAAAATGTCCCTAAGAACTCATGCTTTACATTAATTTTTTTGGTATTTTTTCTATTGATTCTAAGCATGGAAATGTAGATGGAGATTTTGTTGATGTATTTTCAAATTATGTATCAATAATAGTGAAGCTTACTTGATTTCTTTAAAATCTGGTCACTATATCTATAAATACAGTGGACATTAAATGTACAGCATAAGGTAATTATGTGGACTTTAAAAAGGCATTAAAATATGTGCCATTTTCTATTATTCTGCTCAGTAGGCTCCTAAAAGCATGTATGAACATGCCCAACCCAGTATTGGGCCTCCGTAGGCGCTCAATAAATGTTAGTTGATTGCCCCTTTCTGCTTCTAGGTACATAAGCACCATATTAATTTATATAGTATATTTGATTATGTTAGGTTAATGCATAAATCACATGGATTGGTTGTTTCTTTTACAGATCACTAAAGTGGTTCTTAGCAAAGGTTGGAGGTGTCTTGAGTGCACTGTGTGTGAGGCCTGTGGGAAGGCAACTGACCCAGGAAGACTCCTGCTGTGTGATGATTGTGACATAAGTTATCACACCTACTGCCTAGACCCTCCATTGCAGACAGTTCCCAAAGGAGGCTGGAAGTGCAAATGGTTCTCTAGGGTTTGTTTGCCTTGTTAGTCTTTCAAGTTCAGAGCTTTCTCATACCACTTTAGTTTTTAAAAATTAGCCATACCTATTTAATTGAATAATACACATATTCTATGATAGATACCACTAATCAGAAAAATTTTCACATACACATTAAATCATTTGCCCCATTATGTTCGTATGTAGCTTCCTGAATTACAGTAACTGAATAACTAAGAAAATAAAATTGAGACTTTTCGGGGGGATTTGGATTTCAGGTGTGTTTGGTGCAGACACTGTGGAGCAACATCTGCAGGTCTAAGATGTGAATGGCAGAACAATTACACACAGTGCGCTCCTTGTGCAAGTTTATCTTCCTGTCCAGTCTGCTATTGAAACTATAGAGAAGAAGATCTTATTCTGCAATGAAGACAATGTGATAGGTATTGTGCTATTTTTTCATCTTTTTAAAGCTTTTCTCTTTGAAATGTAGCAAAAAAAAAAAAATGGAAAATAGCTTTTCCTTAATCACAAGTTTTAGGTACAGAGCTTTTTGCCTTGTAGATTTTTAGTCACCTAGAAACTTACAGAATTGATTTCCTGTTTTGAATTCTCAACTCCAGACTAAAGTTTTGTTTTGTTTTGTTTTGTTTTTAAATTTACAGACAGAGTCTTGCTCTGTCGCCAGGCTGGAGTGCATCGGCGCTATCTCGGCTCACTGCAAACTCCACCTCCGCCTCCTGGGTTCAAGCGATTCTCCTGCCTCAGCCTCCGGAGTAGCAGGGACTACAGGTGCATGCCACCACGCCCAGCTAATTTTTGTATTTTTAGTAGAGACAGGGTTTCACCATGTTGGCCAGGATGGTCTCCATCTTTTGACCTTGTGATCCACCCGCCTCAGCCTCCCAAAGTTTTATGATTATAGGCGTGAGCCACTGTGTCCACCCAAGACTGAAGATTTTTAATTTAGGCCTTTTTGAGGGTTTAGGAATCCCTTGAAATTAGATGGAGAATTATTGTCTTCCTCTATGCTGTTTCTTATGAAGGGTTTCTGAATCTTTTAATAGATTATAAAAAATATCTAACACTTTCTGTTCTCCTTAAACCACTTTCTCTTAAAGCTCTAGATACTAGATATCTAGGTATTAGATAGCACCTTCTGCCCTCCCTACGTAATTATGTGGAATTTCAAAATCAAGAATGTTTCCTTGCTTTCATTGGTATATTGTTGTACTCTTTAGAAGTTAAGCAGTGAACATATATTGATAGTATTATTTTATCAGTAGTACAGTATTCTTGGGACTCTGGCTACTAATTATCTGTTCCATTGCAAGACAACTTTTTACTTTATTTCCCAATTACCATTCAACATCGCTTTCCATGATATATGTCTACTTCAAGTTAGATGCATTGCCTGGAGCCCATATATGCTAGCACTGCCATTTGCTGTTTTCTGAATACCTTTGTGTTTGCCCTAACTAGCTTCCTTGCTGTCTTTGAAATATTTAATATATGATGATAAAATAATTAGCTTCCTTATGTAATGTGCTTTGCTTCCTCTCTAATAGTTGTTCTCATTCCTTTTTATTTCCTTCTTAGCTCTATGAAAGTTTTTCTGTTAATAGGGATAGTTAGGAGAAAAGGGCAAGGTAGGAGGAGCATGTGAGGCTTAGGGCTTTTAAGTTTGATGACTCAGTGTTACAGGTTTTAAAAGGTAGCAGTTCTCAGTATATTCCATTTTTAAAAAAAAATGTACAAATATGGTCTTTTTAGATGGATGCATGCAGTTCGTCAGAACTTAAATACTGAGGAAGAAGTGGAAAATGTAGCAGACATTGGTTTTGATTGCAACATGTGCAGACCCTATATGCCTGCGTCTAATGGTAAAAGAATAATTTAAACTGTGAGTCTGCACTCTTGTACCACTCACTTGCACCTTACTGTCCATAACCAATGAATTAGCTTAGCTCTACTCTATTTTGTCTTTGTGAAACTTACTTTGACAAGTATTTTATGAAAAATATTATTGTTGATTATACATGACTTATCACAACTTGTTATAAAACAATTTACATGAAACAATAAAAAGCGTATACTTTAGATGTAAACTATAATTTTGCTTCCAAGGAACATGATCTTGTAGTTATTGACAATATGTTAAAATCCAATGTGTTGATTCTTTCTTAGCCAGGTTTTCCTCCATGACTTGAGTATTTCCTTCATCACTTCTTGTTTTGTTGTTGCTTTAAAAAGTGCTTTTAACTTTAGTGTTCAAACATTTATTTTAATAAAATGAGTATAGAAACAGAAATTTTAATCATATGTAAGTATGTAAATACACTTTACCTTTTCTGAAAAGAATTACCTGGATTTTTTTTTTTTCATTTCAGTGCCTTCCTCAGACTGCTGTGGATCTTCACTTGTAGCACAAATTGTCACAAAAGTAAAAGAGCTAGTTAAAATTTGAAATGCTTTACTTAATTTAATTAATTTACTTTGCTTAATTTTTACATAATTGGCTTACCACTTATAAAATCTGCTTCAATCATATGGGTGTTCTATCCAAATTCCGTAATGTTGGTAATCATTTCCACAATGATATATAAAATGTCATCCAGCTTTACTGGGGCAGTATTCCTATAAATTTCAGCAAGTTGGCAACAAAAATAACAGCTCTTAGAATAACCATTAATGCCATACTTGCTTTGGTTTCATTGATATATTACTGTGCTTAATTATCAGTTAGCAGAAAATACGGCCTAGTTAGCAAGCAGATTTCTTTTAGAATTAATTCAATCTCTTAATTTTTTAAAATAATTAATAAGCCTAGTATGGTGATTAATATGATATTCTTATTAAACAGTCATTCTTTTGAATACTTGTATTTAATAGCACCTGATACAAAAACATTTGGATAGTACAGAAGTTGTTCTAAGGAACAACAGTTTTGTACATTTAAAATTAAATCTGCAGGATTTGTACTTATTTATTACTTCTCCCTATTAGTAATTATGTTGATACTCTGATTTTTCCAGATGAGCTTCTGGAGTATTCTCTCTTCTCTTGTGTAAATAGATCCCTGCCTTTTGATCTTTTCCAGGAAAAAGCTCATAGTGGATTAGCTGAGCATTGCATTTATTTGCAGTGCTTCTAACTCTTTTTATTGGGACATGAAAATAAAAATGCCAGGAAGACTTTTTTGAGATGGAGTCTCACCCTGTTGCCCAGACTGGAGTGCAGTGGTACGATCTCGGCTCACTGCAACCTCCGCCTCCCGGGTTCAAGGGATTCTCCTGCCTCAGCCTCCCGCATAGCTGGGATTACAGGTGCCCACCACCACGCCGGGCTAATTTTTTGTATTTTTAGAAGAGACAGGGTTTCACTGTGTTTGCCAGGATGGTCTCGATCTCCTGACCTCGTGATCTGCCTGCCGCCTCGGCCTCCCAGAGTGCTGGGATTACAGGCATGAGCCCCCGCAACGGGCCCAGGAAGACCATTTTTTAAAAACATGTAACATTTCTGCCTATAATCCAAGGAAGTTTGACCTATTGTTCCTAGTTTTTATTGGGTATCATGAAATTAATTATTCATGCATTTCATAGATACGTAATTACTTTCTAGAACTACAGTCACATTCCCTTGACATGGGTATTTTGGAACAGTAATCAGTCAAATTTAAAATGAAAGTTTAAATTTGTATTCTTGGGATTTTGTAATTTTAGACCCACCCAAGACTTATACCCAGGATGGTGTGTGTTTGACTGAATCAGGGATGACTCAGTTACAGAGCCTCACAGTTACAGTTCCAAGAAGAAAACTGTCAAAACCAAAACTGAAATTGAAGATTATAAATCAGAAATAGCGTGGCCGTCCTTCAGACACCTCCAGACATCCAATCAGAACATTCAAGGGATGGTGATATGGATGATAGTCGAGGTAATACTAATTTATTTTCCGTGAAATATGTGTGCAAGAATTACAGCATATAAAGTAACTTTTGAAATATGTGTATGATTTACCAAAGGGTAAATCACACTGACTTAGATAACCCCGATGTGACCCTTGCCATCTCCAAATGAGTGATCTTCTTAGACCTTGCCTTTTCGGGTTCTCTTCCTTTCACACATTTTAGAACAGACCTACCTTACAGAAATCTCAAGGAGCACCATATCTTTGAAGATCACAGGTGGGGAAATACAGAGGGCTTGACTTTAGTTTGCTAGATGACGACACAAACCTTCTCAGATACTGTGAGCTTGGATAATACCATGTTTAAGTTAAGGTAGTTGAGGCATACATTCTAGAAATGGAAAAGCTGTCATTTAATATTACTTCAGGTATAACTTCATATTCACCAGTGTGCATCATAAAGTATTGGTTTATAAACATTTTCTTAATCAAAGTAAATATAAGGTTTTTCTAGCTGAATTTTTTTTTTTTTTTTGGTTGGGAGACAGGGTCTTGCTCTGTTGCCCAGGTTAGAGTGCAGTGGCATGATCTTGGCTTACTACAACCTCTGCCTACTGGGTTCATGCGACCCTCCTACCTCAGCCTCCTGAGTAGCTGGGACCATGGATGTGGGCCCCCATGCCTGGCTAATTTTTGTATTTTTTTGTAGAGATGGGGTTTTGCCATTTTGCCAAGACTGGTCTTGAACTCCTGGGCTCAAGCCATCTGCTCTGCTCAGCCTGCTGAATTCTTGAGATAGCAAAATATTTTAATAGTAACCTAAAATCCAATATGAATTAAAGAGGATTACTGTAGGTTTCCTCATTTTTGGGGCAGTTATTTATTTTCAACTGATTCAGAAGTGAAGTGATAATTATTTCTGTTCCATTACATTTTATTTCATAGCTTTTTTTTTTTTTTTTTTTTTTTAAGGGGCAGTGTCTTGTTACATTGCCCAGGCTGGTTTCCAACTCCTGGGCTCAAGTGATCCTCCTGCCTCAGCCTCTCAAGTAGCAGGTACTATAGGCATGCGCCACTGCAGCCGGCTTTTAGACAATAGAATTTATTGAATACCTACTGTATGTCAGATGTTGGAAATCATATCAGTGTACAAAGCAGGTAGAATTCTCTGCATAGAGTTTATATTTTAATGTTAGGTAACTCAACTCTTAAAAAAAATCAGTTAATTATAATGTGTTTGGCAAGTTCCATGGTAAAAATAAAGTTTGATAAAGAGGAATTGCCTGGCCAGGCACAGTGGCTTATGCCTGTAATCTCAGCACTTTGGGAGGCCGAGGTAGGTAGATCACTTGAGGTCAGGAGTTCGAGACCAGACTGGCCAACATGGTGAAACCCGTTCTCTGCTAAAAATACAAAAATTAGCCGGGCTCAGTGGCATGCACCTCTAATCCCAGCTACTTGGGAGGCCAAGGCAGGAGAATTGCTTGAACCTGGGAGGCGGAGGTTACAGTGAGCCGAGATTGCACCACTGCACTCCAGCGTGGGTAACAGAGCAAGACTCCGTCTCCAAAAAAAAAAAAAAAAAAGGAATTGGAAGTACAGACAGGTGTTTAGGGTCCATATGAACAGAAAGCAGTATTTGAGCACAGATTTTAAAGAGGTGAGTGAGTGAGCCACTTGATTACCTGAGAGAAGAGCACCCCAGACAGTGAAGAAGCCAGTGTAAAGGCTCTGGGTGAGAGTGTGCTGAGCATGTTTGAAGAGTGTTGTGGAGACCAACAGAGTGAGCAGAGGGGACAGTCAGAAGGTGAGAAGATTAGAGATGTGAGGACAAGAAGGACGGCTCAGTATATCTCACACAACCATAAGGTGATGTGTCAGTAGTTTGTGCTTAATAGCAATGGAATGGGAGGCCATTGAATGTTCCTGAAAAGAAGAACACCATGATCTTATTTATATTTTAAGAGGAACACTCTCCTATGATATAAGTAGAAGATTAGGTGCAAGAGTTATGACAGGTAGATCAGTGAGAAACAATGGTCCAGGTGAGAGGTAATTGTGGCTTTGAAAAGGTATGTCTTTTGTGGCCAGGCTCGGTGGCTCATGCCTGTAATCCCAGCACATTGGGAGGCCAAGGCGGGTGGATCACCTGAGGTCAGGAGATCAAGACCATCCTGGCCAACACGGTGAAACCTCGTCTTTACTAAAAATACAAAAATTAGCTGGGCGTGGTGGCAGGCACCTGTAATCCCAGCTATTTGGGAGGCAGAGGCAGAGGATTGCTTGAACCCAGGAGGCAGAGGTTGCAGTGAGCCAAGATCGAGCCACTGCACTCCAGCCTGGTGACAGAGTGAGACTCCATCTCAAAAAATAAATAAATACATGAAAAGATATGTCTTTTGTATGTTCTTGATAATTTTTGTTTTGTAGTGTGTTTTGGGTCTATGTTGCTGGGAGAAACACTTTCTGATGCTTGTATGTAACTGATTTTCAGATACGGTTGAACAGGTAATTTGATTTGGGGGCTTGGAGTTTGCAAAGAAGTAGTCCATATACTTGGAGGAATTGATCAGATCAGCATTAACAAGAATTTCCATTTCTGAGGATGTTAAAAAATGTCTGAAAAAGGTTTCCATAGTCTCTTAAATTTGGGAAGTGCTCCATTTCACAAAATATGAAAGGTTTCTTGATAATAGTACACATTGTTTCCCAAATTATGTGATTATAATACCTTTTAAAAACAACACAGAAGATCTTGGAAGGTTTTCCTTGTGACTTACCACTTGTAAACACTGAGAAATGGTGATATGTTTCAATTTCATATTTTCTCATTGACTTGTATCACGGTAAAAGAAAATCAGTTGAAAAATTACCCTTGCTTTTTTAAAATGTACGTGATAAAATAGCCCATCTGAATTTACTGAATTTGTCTTTATTTTTATTGAATATGAAAAAAGATTGTTTAGCGTGTTAGATGTTAAATGCTAAGACAATTTTAGAATTTAAGGAATTGAATATACAGTATTTTCATGACTAGTCCCTCATGTTCATTTACATGCCAGGATCTCACATCCTTTGCAGAAGGAAAGGTACATTCCTAGGGATAAAATAAATGCATGTTACTTGGACAACATTTTTGCTTTCTGTTTGCTAAATAAAAATCCTTTTTAAAAATTTAGTATTGCCACACTTTGCCATATTAAAAATGTTTTAGATTACTATATTATCCTGAAACTACATGTACACACACACCACTAAAATAAGTTTTATGGTATTTCATATGCCTGTACGGGAGAAAAAATAGGAAAAGAATAAAATCATCATAAGTTCTTATTATTACATTATGCTGAGATTTCTAATAACGCTGCCCTTTTCTGGGTATTTTGTATTAAACCTAAAATTTGTGATGTTTTAGACTGTTTCACTAACATGTTTTGATAACGTCTCAGTACCCTTGGGAAAGCATTATAAAGTAGTGGGCAACGATGAAACCTACTCTGGATGTTTTTAGGCAAATTTTTTAACTTCTCTGATGCTAGTGTTCTCTTTTATAAAATAGGTGAACCAGGATGAGCCCATAGGATAGTTGTGCTGATGAGGTGCAAGGATGCATGCCAGGCACCCAGCACTGGCTCTTCCCAGACATGGAGTGCTCAGTAATCGTGAGCTATTAGAATACAGGTGCCCAACCAGTGCTTGAGCAATTGTGTTCTGTGTCCAACAGAACTCAACAGAATCCCACGTTTGTCTTTATATGTGAATTCAGTTCCTTTTGAGTTAGTAAGAAATTTTGCCTGTGTTGGGGTAATTGAACTTTCAGGAGGAGGGAATTGTCTGCCACAATTATTCTCTGAACTTAATGTTTCCATGTCTTTTTCTTCATTTTGGAAGTTGTGGAAAAATTATAATGAAAGAGTATATAAACGTTTTCCTCTGTATTATAGCGTATCTGACAGTTTCCTTTATTAAAAAGTACGATACATTAGGGAGAGACTTAATGAATTTAAAATTAAAGTTTGAAAAGTGTTATTGACTATAAGTGATCTTCAGCTGTGCAGTTTTCAACTTGAGGTTGTCAGAATGTAATATTACACATTATATTACACACATCTACAGAATCCAAATTGTGATGTTCCTGGAGTATTGGAACAATACCTATGACTTTTTGTTTCTATTGATTTTTAACTCTTCTAATAACCACTTCTTTAAGAAAAGTCATACATCATCACTTTGGTGTATCAGAAACAAATTCCTTATGCAATAAAAGCATACTTCTTTCTCATTCACCTACTGGGATCTAGAAACCCTGTTAATGCAAGAAAAAATCCCAAACCTCAATAAAATAACACTCTGTTTGTCTGAAGAGTGGAAACACAACACATTTCCTCTCAACTGGTGGTCCCAGATCCACCATCACAGTGTATGGATGTGTTTGGAGGTGTGGGAATAGGACTGCTCTGAGGCTCTAGAAGGCCAGCAGGTGGGGCAGACTGAATGGAGGGAGGGGACTGGCATTCAGTAACTACTGGAGCGTGGGAAGAGTGAGGTAGACTGTCCATCTGGTGAAGGTGGCTGCTTCCTTGAGGTTTGTTACTTTCTGTAATGTTAATTCCCTCAACTTTTAAAATTTGATTTTTAGACAAGTTATACATTCAAATGATTTAAAATTGGAAAATAATAAAAAGGTAAACAGTGAAGTCTCTCCCTTTCCCCTGCCTTCATGCCCCCAGTTTGCATCTCCAGAAACCTCAGAGGTTTCTCGTGTAACTTTCCAGATGTGTTTTATGCATGTACAAGGAAATGTGTGTTTATATATATATAGTGTGTGTGTGTGTGTATATATATTTTGTTCCTTTTGTCTTACTACTTTTTACTGTCCTTCATTTTTTTATGGCTGCAAATATTCCTTTGTATGGAAATATAAGCAATTTAATTTACCTGTTCTTTCCCCTGTTGATAGACCTTTGGGTTTCTTTCAATCTTTTTTTTTTTTTTTTTTTTTGAGACAGAGTCTCACTCTGTCGCCCAGGCTGGAGTGCAGTGGCATGATCTTCGCTCACTGCAAGCTCCGCCTCCTGGGTTCACGCCATTCTCCTGCCTCAGCCTCCCGAGTAGCTGGGACTACAGGCACCCGCCACCACGCCCGGCTAATTTTTTTGTATTTTTAGTAGAGACGGGGTTTCACCATGTTAGTCAGGATGGTCTCGATCTCCTGACCTCGTGATCTGCCCGCCTCGGCCTCCCAAAGTGCTGGGATTACAGGCATGAGCCACCACTCCCGGCGTTCTTTCAATCTTTTACTGTGAATAGTACAATGAATCACCTGGTATATTTATAATGTTGTAGGTAAGTGGGCCTGCAAAGGTGAATTCCATGCTAAATCCAAAGACATAATGCATTTGAAACTGTTTTTGGCAGGTAGGATACAGTTTTTTGTTTTTTTCTTCATTTATTTTTATTATACATATCTGAGGTATACAACATGCTTTGTATACATAGTGAAATGATTACTATGGTCAAACAAATGTCTGTATCCTTCACCTTCCATAGTTACTCTCTGTGTATGTACACCTAAAATCTCTTTCAGCAAATTTCCAGTACACAATATTATTAACTATGGTTCTCATGCTGTGTATTAATTTGATCTCTAGAATTATTCATCTTACCTAACTGCAGATTTGTACCCTCAGACCTACTTCTGCCCATCCCACCCATCCCCTACCTCCAGACTCTTGATAACCACCATTCTACTCTCTATACATTCAGCTTCTCACCCCCCTGCCTCCCATTCTGCTTCTTAAGTGAGATCATACAGTATTTTTCTGTGTCTGGCTTACTTTATTTAGCATACTTTCCTCCCAGTTCATCCATGTTGTCACAAATGGCAGTATCTCCTTTCTTAAAGCTAACTATTCCATTGTATAAAGTCCTCATTGTCATCAGTAAGTTCTTAGAAACTGTGGTTAAGAGGGGAAAAAAAGTATGACAAAACTGATTTTTTTTTCATTTTGCATTATGCCAAAATTAGATTGAAGGAAACAGTGTTACTTGAGGACCTGCTGTATGTTCATTTAGCTTAACGTCTCAGTTCCCAAGAACCTATTGATGACATTAAGGGAGGACTTAATATATGTATAAACAAATGTCACAATTTCTTTATCCATTCATCTGTCCTTGAATGGGTAAGTAAATTGTCCATTAGGACACTTAGTTTGTTTCCATGTCTTGGCTATTGGGAGTAATGCCGCCATGAACATGGGAATCCAGATGTCTCTCTCAGATGCTGATTTTATTACCTTTGAATATATGCCCAACAGAGGCATTGTTGGATCTTATGGTAGTTGTATTTTTTTTTAAGGAAACTCTATACTGTTTTCAATAATGGCTATACTAATTTACATTCCTATCAACCATGTACAAAGGTTTCATTTTCTACACATCCTCACCAACACTTATGTCTTTGCCTTTTTGTTAATAGTCATTCTAAGAGACACGAGATGATATCTATTGTGGTTTTAATTTTCATTTTCCTCATGATTATGATATTGAGCATCTTTTCATATACCATTTGACCATTTGTGTGACTTTGGAAAAATGGCTATTCAGGTCCTTGCCTATTTTAAAATCCAGTTATTTGGGGTTTTTTTTTTGCTACTGAGTTGTGTGAGTTCCTTATATGTTTTGGATTTTAACCCCTTATCAGATGTGTGGTTTGCCAATATTTTCCCCTAATCCCTGTGCTACCTTTTTACCCCATTTTGTTTTTTTTTATTGCTATGCAGAAGCTTATTTGCTTGATGTAGTCCCACTTGCTTATTTTTGCTTTTGCTGCCTGAGCTTTTGGTGTGATATCCAAAAAATCATTGTCAAGGAGGATATTAAGGAGTTTTTCTCCTATATTTCCTTCTAGGAGTTTTATGGTTTCAGGTGTTAGGTATTTAATCTATTTGAGTTGCTTTTTATGTATGATGTGTAAGATAGGCATCAGGTCCAGTTTCATTCTTTTGCATATAGATATCTAGTTTTCTTACCACTACTTATTGAAGACACCATCTTTTCCCTATTGTATCTTATTGGACTTGTCAAAAATTAGCTCATAATATATGTTTGGGTTTATTTTTGGGCTCTGTATTCAGTTCCATTGATCCATGTGTCTGCTTTTATGCCAGTACCATACGTTTTGATAACTATCACTTTGTAATATAAGTTGAAATCAGGTAGTGTGATACCTTCTACTTTGTTTTTCTTTCTCAAGATTCTTTTGGCTATTCAGGGTCTTTTATGATTTAATACAAATTTTAGAATTGTGTTTTCTATTTTTGTGAAAAATGCCTTTGGAAATTTGATAGGGATTGCATTGAATCTGTAGATCACTTTGGATAGTATGGACATTTTAACAATATTCTTCCAATCCACAAACTTGGGGATATCATTATATTTATTTGTGTCTGTAGTTTTTTTCTGTTTTTTGAGACAGAGTCACGCTCTGTTGCCCAGGCAGAAGTGCAGTGGTGTGATCTCAGCTCACTGCAACTTCCACCGCCTCCTGGGTTCAAGCAATTCTGCTGCCTCAGCCCCCCAAGTAGCTGGGATTACAGGTGCCTGCCACCATGCCCGACTGGCCAATTTTTGTATTTTTAGTAGAGACAGGGTTTCGCCATGTTGGCCAGGCTGGTCTTGAACTCCTGACTTCAGGTGATCTACCTGCCTTGGCATCCCAAAGTGCTGGGATTACAGGCGTGAGCCACCATGCCCGGCTGTGTGTCTTCAGTTTACTTTGTCAGTATTTTATAGTGTTTAGTATATAAAGCTTTCACTTCCTTCATTAAATTTGTTCCTCGGTGTTTTATTCTTTTTGATGTTATTTTAAGTGGAAATGTTTTCTTGATTTTTTTTCAGATCATTATTTGTATAAAGAAATGCATCTGATTTTTGTATATTGATTTTGTATCCTGCTACTTGACTGAATTCATTTATTCTAGTAACTGTGGAATTTTTAGGGGTTTCTACATACAGGATCATGTCATCTGCACACAGGGATAATTTTACCCCCTTTTTTCTGCTGATGCCTTTTATTTCCTTTTCTTATGTGATTGCTCTGGCTAGGACTATGTTGAATATAAGTGTTAAGAGTAGGCATCCTTGCCTTGTAGCAGATATTGAAGAAAAGCTTTCAGTCTTTCCTTGTTGTAGGTTTGTTTTTGAATAGGCAATACCTGTGCATGATACAAGAAATACAAAGGTCTTAAAAAGAGTGAACAATGTTAAGTTAGCCTACCTTTTGGCCATCCCTTCCTTGGAAAGAACCAGTGTTTTCTTATAACTTTCCAGAGATTAGTCATCTAGATACAAGTATGTATATATGGGAGAATTTCTCATATTTGGGTGATATGGTCTTTTTCTCTTTTCTTTTCTTTTCTTCCGGTCTGTCTTTCTTTCTGTCCTCGTCTCGTCTCTTCTCTTCTCTTTTCTTCATTTCTTTTGATGGAGTCTTGCTTTGTCATCCAGGCTGGAGTGTAGTGGTGCAATCTCGGCTCACTGTAAGCTCTGCCTCCCAGGTTCACGCCATTCTCTTGCCTCAGCCTCTGGAGTAGCTGGGACTACAGGCACCCACCACCACGCCTGGCTAATTTTTTGTATTTTTGTGTTTTTAGTTCCTCTCCTCTCCAGGAGAGGAACAGGGGCCACAGGGAGCTGATCATGAAACACACTGAGGGTGTTTCATCAGGGGAGTGACATGAGCATAGTCACATTCAGGAAAGATCACTGCCTCTGGGAAGACAGAGGGTCAGGGCAGAGCCTGGAGGCCAGGAGAATGCCACCTTCAAACAGGGTGGAGGAGGCACAATTCTGGACAGGGATGTCCATGGCCAGAGGAGTGATCCAGCTCCTAGAAGATGAGGAGAGACCGAAGGTGAGGATGGCTCTTCAGTTTCAGGTTTAGGCACCTGGACAGATGGTCTTGCCTTCTCCAGCGGCAGAAAGCACTGAAGGGGAAAGAGGTTGGGGGAAGGGACTGTGTAGGCTGAGCAGCCTAAGTCTGAGAAGCTGGGCCACTTGCAGGTGTTGGTCCAGGGTGCAAGTGCATTTGGTGAAGGGGGAGACTAGGAAGGGAGGAGAAAGTCCAGTCTGTTACTAGACCTCACCATGCTGCAGGTGTCTGGGCCAGCAGGTCGCAGCCGGAGCTGTGCAGCTGGCTGCTGTCACATCCCTTTCTCTCCCAGCTGCCTTCAGCTGAGCTTAACGCCAGCAGAGGCCGAAACACTTCACAAATGCAACTTGTCAGCTGGGAGGTGCACTCAGAGCTCAGGAACACTGTTTTCCCTCTTTATTGTTTTCCATCATTTTTTTTTCAGTCTGGGTTTTGGGCCCCGTCAGTTCCTTTTCTGTTCAACACTGAGCTATGTATCCACCCCTCTCAAGGTTGAAAAAGCGAAAGACTGTAAAAGTGCCCTGCAAAGAAGAGGCTTCCAACTCTCTGGGGCGGGGGGGGGGGGGGGGGGGGCTCTCTTCCTCCTCTTGTCTTCTGGGTTCATTCCAAATTATTCCCCAAAGGAAAAATCACTGAAGGACTGGGGGCGGTGGTGGGGAAAAGGACAGTCTCCCAAGAGGTCAGGTGAAGCCCCAGCCTCATGGTGTTGAGGGAGGGGCTGGGGGAAGCGGGAGCCTGTTCCTAGGAGACACTGTCTACTGGACACCTCATCCTAGACGGCTTCCCTGAGTTCTGACACTGTTCTAGGAGTAGGAATCATTATCCCACGCTGTGGAGAAGGAAACCAAGGCCGGGTAAAGTTATGTAGGGCCCTTAAAGTTGCAGAGCCAGGAATAAAGTCCGGATTGGGACTCAGGTCTGTGGGCAATATAAGGCCGTCCCCTTTACACTTCAAATGCTCTTTCCCCCTCCGGAAGCCCTCGCGTCCTCATCCCTACCCCACCTCTTGTTCCCCAAGCGTGGCTAGGGCTAGGGCTCCAGGGCTACGCCAAGCACCCTTCGGTCTTCCCGGGAAGAATTTTCCCCGGCCCGGGGCTAGGGTCTGGCGCTGGGGCGCTCCTGGGACCTGCGGGATCACCACTACACTCTGGCGCGCTGAGCGCGGTGAGCTAGGGCGCCAAGGCACAGGTGGGGCTGGAGTCCAGCGCGGAGGCGCGGGGGGCGGGACGCGGGGCCGGGGAGCGTTCAGGGACCGCGGCAGCGCCGCAGTGCAGCCCGGCGCCGGCGACTGCCTGCCCCAGCCCCTCAGTGGCGGCTTGCTCTCTTCTCTCGCTCCGAGCCAGACACAGCCGCTGTCGCTGCCATCTGGCGCGCCGCAGACTCCCGAGAACAGCCCTGGCTGTCAGCGGGCACCAGCCGCTTCCTGTGCCCATCGCGTAGACTGGAGGGGCGCACCACGGCCACCGAGCCAGAGGCGCTTCAGGAAGCAAGAGAAGTCCCCGCGCGCTCCGGGACCCGGCGCAGCTCATGGTGAGCGCCCTTTGGGGCTCGAGGGTCCCTTGGCTGAGGGGGCGCATCCTCGGGGTGCCCGATGGGGCTGCCTGGGGGTCGCAGGGCTGTAGTTGGGATCGCGCACAAACCGACTCTGCGGCCCAGCCCGAAATGCTGCCGCCAAGGAGCAACGACACCGCGTACCCGGGGCAGTTAGCGCTATACCAGCAGCTGGCGCAGGGGAATGCCGTGGGGGGCTCGGCGGGGGCACCGCCACTGGGGCCCGTGCAGGTGGTCACCGCCTGCCTGCTGACCCTACTCGTCATCTGGACCTTGCTGGGCAACGTGCTGGTGTCCGCAGCCATCGTGTGGAGCCGCCACCTGCGCGCCAAGATGACCAACGTCTTCATCGTGTCTCTACCTGTGTCAGACCTCTTCGTGGCGCTGCTGGTCATGTCCTGGAAGGCAGTCGCCGAGGTGGCCGGTTACTGGCCCTTTGAAGCGTTCTGCGACGTCTGGGTGGCCTTCGACATCATGTGCTCCACCGCCTCCATCCTGAACCTGTGCGTCAGCAGGTCATCAGCGTGGCCCGCTACTGGGCCATCTCCAGGCCCTTCCGCTACGAGCGCAAGATGACCCAGCGCATGGCCTTGGTCATGGTCCGCCCGGCCTGGACCTTGTCCAGCCTCATCTCCTTCATTCCGGTCCAGCTCAACTGGCACAGGGACCAGGCGGTCTCTTGAGGTGGGCTGGACCTGCCAAACAACCTGGCCAACTGGACGCCCTGGGAGGAGGCCGTTTGGGAGCCCGACGTGAGGGCAGAGAACTGTGACTCCAGCCTGAATCGAACCTACGCCATCCCTTCCTCGCTCATCAGCTTCTACATCCCCATGGCCATCATGATCGTGACCTACACGCGCATCTACCGCATCGCCCAGGTGCAGATCCGCAGGATTTCCTCCCTGGAGAGGGCCGCAGAGCACGTGCAGAGCTGCCGGAGCAGCGCAGGCTGCACGCCCGACACCAGCCTGCGGTTTTCCATCAAGAAGGAGACCGAGGTTCTCAAGACCCTGTCGGTGATCATGGGGGTCTTCGTGTGTTGCTGGCTGCCCTTCTTCATCCTTAACTGCATGGTTCCTTTCTGCAGTGGACACCCCAAAGGCCCTCCGGCCGGCTTCCCCTGCGTCAGTGAGACCACATTCGATGTCTTCATCTGGTTCTGCTGGGCCAACTCCTCACTCAACCCAGTCACTATGCCTTCAACGCCGACTTCCGGAAGGTGTTTGCCCAGCTGCTGGGGTGCAGCCACGTCTGCTCCCGCACGCCGGTGGAGACGGTGAACATCAGCAATGAGCTCATCTCCTACAACCAAGACACGGTCTTCCACAAGGAAATCGCAGCTGCCTACATCCACATGATGCCCAACGCCATTCCCCCCGGGGACCGGGAGGTGGACAACGATGAGGAGGAGGAGAGTCCTTTCGATCGCATGTCCCAGATCTATCAGACATCCCCAGATGGTGACCATGTTGCAGAGTCTGTCTGAGAGCTGGACTGCGAGGGGGAGATTTCTTTAGACAAAATAACACCTTTCACCCCAAATGGATTCCATTAAACTGCATTAAGAAACCCCCTCATGGATCTGCATAACCACACAGACATTGACAAGCATGCACACACAAGCAAATACATGGCTTTCCAGTACTGCTCCCTTTATCATGTGTTTCTGTGTAGTAGCTGGTGTGCTTAGAAACCTCACCCCATTGATTGGTAGTTCAAAGAATTGGCAGAAGCAGTTGCAATAAACTCAGTCAAATGTACCCAGCCTACCAGAGATGGAACAATGATCCTGTGAGAGAAGAGAGTATGGTGCTGGCTCCTTAAAAAAAAAAAAAAAAAAAATGATACTTGGTCCTTAAAAAATATGCTCTCCCCTCCCTTTTTAAACAAATGGCTTTTTCAGTCACTTGTTTGTGTTTGAATTGATTTTTAAACAGCAGGTTTTGTGTGTGTGCAGTGATGTGGTGGGAGCACAGCTTTCCTGGGTCTGGATTCCCGTGGCTTTGTGCTTGTGTCATTTCTTCTCTCTGTGCTGGTGGGGGTCTCTTTACCATAGCTTAAGAAGTCTCCCTGATTTATTCTGGTATCTAATAAACACAGATTATTTGTATTATGTGGTGACTATCTTTGCTTTGCTACACTGGGTTTCAGGATTGCTTCTGAAGAAACGATGAGTGCATCCTTAAAATGCAAAGAAGACATTTGCTGGGTCTGGAAGTACATGCTTATTCTCTTTACAGTTTGGCCTTAAAGATACTCCAGGGCAAAGGACCTTGAGGAGCTTCTGTTATCTCAGGTTTCTTTTTATTACTTATACACATGTTGGGTCTGTGCTGAAACCTGGCTTCAATGGCATGGCATTAGATCTTCTCAAGCCCAGATTTTTTTTTTCATTTGGAATCTTTTTTGAAGTAACGTAAGACAACTCTCCTTATTCCTAGACAGATGCGATCAGTTCATTGAAAAGATCATGTAGAATAATATCTTGAATCTTTCTCCATCTGAAATCTGTAGCATGTTTTAGAATCACATGGCTTTTGAGAAATCCTGTTTTCTGAAGGGCTTTGAAATGTGTGAATCAAGATGCTTTAAAAAAGAAATCCATTTTTAAATAGGCATTTTCCTTAGTGGACAATAGCAAATAGAGAAATGCTTTTTAACTAAAATGTAGAAGCCAGAGATGAAATGTGAATGAACTTGAAATTGGAAAATCTGTAGGTCCAGGTGCTCAATAGAAAAGCCCAGCTGACTCCAATCATTTTGTTTTTCCTCTCTGCAGTGTGCACAGTCAAGGGGAGTGTTTTATTCCAGACCCACACCAGTTGAGAGCATAGTATTACCATCAGATCTAAATATGAGCACTATTAATGGAAGCAAATGAAATGTGAATATGCAATTTCTTGCAAGTCCCTGCTTTGAAGCAGTTTTATCAAGGATAGTTCAATCAATTTTGATCTCTCTAAGGCTAATTTTATTGTCAGTCTTCTGTGCAGCCAACTGCAAAATGTGCAGCTCCTGGCACATCGTACTTAATAAATATTTGTTGAATGAATGACTATTTCTGGATTAGTGAGATTGAAAGCAAATCCTATTCGGTACATCAATTTTTACATATAATTTAGTCAAAATGATACTGGAATCTGAGGCCTGTGTTCAGTTTCTGACCTCCTGTGAATGGATAGCTAAGTGAACCATTAGGCAACATTAGGGGCAGTGAAAAGCACACAGCTCTACGATTCAGGAGATGGTCGCATGACCTTGAGTGAGTCAATTAACCTTTCTGGGCCTCATTTTCTGTCTGTGTCTGTAAATGGAAAGACTTCAGCTGGATCACTGTTTACCCAATTGTGCTTTGTGATGCAGATGTTAATGGATGGGGTCTCTGGTGAAATAAGTTCAGCAAACCCAGGTTCAACACCTGTTTTCTCAATAGGACTTCTTAGAGCTTCTCCTGTGCATGATGCATCCTCCAGTGCGAGAAGATTCTGTATCATTTCCCAATGCCATTCACTTTGTGAACCTTGTTTGGTGGAATTCCTGTTACTGTTTCACTGCAGTCCACAGTCACTACTTGAGAAACTCAAATCTAACTGATCTGGACGTCTTTACAATATTCCGTTCTAAAGCATGGGTTGCTATAAGCAAAATCTTTTGTGAAAAACACTGTTCTAGGCTCCAGTTTAAATAAGTTCTGTGTTATGGAAAATGGGTTATGTGAGGACTTTGGAATTTCCTTCTGTAAAATATCACTCACCATTCATTATAATTACGTACTATGCTCTAGGCATTGTTCTAGATGCTGGGAATATAGTTGTCAATCAAATTCTCTGCTCTCTTGGAACATTTATGTGAGCTGGGGGAGAGATAAGCCAATAAAGAGATCTGTACTATACTGCACTGCATTGCACTGTGCTGTACTGACCAGGATAGATAATGCCAGGCAGGGGTAATTGCTATGTTGCAAAAAGCCCAGGGTGAGTAGGGTGGTGAAGCTGCTGTTTTATTTATGGTGGTCAGGGGAGGACTTTCCAAAGAGCCACATGAAGAGAGACCTTGATGAAGTAAGGATTGGAGGGCTGCTAATGTCTGGGAAGGAGAGCAATCCAGGCAGAGGGAGTGGCAAGTGCAAAGGCTTGGAAATGGGATTGTTCTTGGCACCCTCGGAGGAGTGTGGCTGGAGGGCTATAAAAGAGGAGTGTGATAGGATTAATGTTAATTGCTGTAGCAGCAATTGCAGCAGGCATGATGGAGACCCAGCCTGTGCTGGGTACAATACATGTATTAATTCATTTCACTCTCACTGCCCTGTGAGGTAAGCACTTTTATTACCCCATTTTACAGATAAGGAAATGAAGGCATTGGCAGGCTAAATAACCAGCCTGAGCTCACATAACTCCTGAGTGGCAGAGCTCAACTTGAACCCAGGTAGCCTGGCTGTGGAGTCTTTAATCCTAACTCCTCTTTGATGGTGAGAGAGGATGCCAGGACATCTTCAGTCAGCAAATGCACTAGTGCACAGATCAGGACATTCAGTTTTTTGTTCATTTATTACTGAAATGGTTAATTGATTCATCCCCACAGCTATACAACAGCAGATCTTCACTGTGTACCTCCTCTGTGCACAGCTTTGTGTTTGGAGGGAAGGCACCCTAGGGTTATGGGCAAAGTAGCTCTTACATGATGGGCCAATTGCTTTCCTGGATTCTTATTTATTCCTCACATTAACCTCACGTTATTATTTTTCCATTTTACAGGTGAGGACATGGGGGCACAGAGGACCTTGAGGACAAGGTTGTTTGTCCAAGGTCATGTGAAAAGTAAGTAGTGGAACCACGGTTCACCCTAGGTCAGTGGTTCTTAAATGAGGGAACTTTGCACCCTGCACCCCCACAGATATTTGGCAATGTCTGGAGACATTTTTGGTTGTCACAACTGGGTGTCAGGTGCTCCTGCCATCTTCTGGGTAGAGGCCAAAGATGTTGCTAAACAACTTATGGTGCACAGAGAATTATCCGGCCCCAAATACCCATGTTGCAGCACTCGAGAGGCCTTGGCCAGGCGGGCAGACTCCAGGTCCCAGCTCCCCGTCCACAAGGCCACCTGCCTGGGATTGGAGGCTCCAGTGCCCTAAGTTTGAAGTTTGGCTCCACCATTTATTAGTCTTCTGAATTTGGGCACCTTTCTGAGCTCCAGCTTCTTTATCTGAGCAATGGGCACATGAACCACACAGAGCATGAATTACACAAAACACATGCCCCAGAACTTCCTTGTTCTGATACATGCTGAATCTTCTTTTATAATTAGGCATCCATACACCATATTCATTGGTTAGAAATGAGTCATTACGTCCAAATCATATTCAAGGGGAGGTGATTAGACTTTACCTCTTCATGGGAGGAGTGCCAAAGAATTTGCAGAAGAGATGTTTTACATTTTATGCTTTATTTTTAAACACTTGTTCTCACATAGTTTCAGACTTACAGAAACCTTGCAACACGGTACAAAGAATTTCTAAATATTGTTTACCCAGATCCCCCAAACATCAGGGTTTCACTGTATCACTTATCTCTGTTCTTCCCTTTTTCTTCTGAGTCATCTAAGGTGTGATGCCCATTTACTCTTGAATATTTTGTTGCATATTTCCTAAAAACAGGGAATTCTCTCGTCTCATCTACAGACTTTATTCAGACTTCACAATAATGTCCTTTATAACAAAACAATCCAAGACCATGTGTTGCATTTAGCTGTCCCCTGCAATTTGAAAGTTTCTGCTGCTTTGTCTTTCTTGACACAGACCTTTGTGAAGATTACCTGGCCAGTTACTTGGTATAATTGTCCTTCAACTTCGGTTTTTTGGTGCTTTTCCATGATTAGATTCTGTTATGCATGTTGGGCAGGAATATCACTGATGCCATGCTGAGCTCCTGTAGCTCAAGGCATGAGGGGCAGGTGCTATTAATTAGTCCCATTACTAGCAATGTTAACTTTGTTCATGGGGTTACGGTGCTGTCCACCATTTTACTCTTTATAATTAATATGTATTTCCTTTGGAGAAATACTTTGAGACTATGAAGATATCCTATTATTTCTCAAACTTGCATCCATTGGTTTTAGCATTTATTAGTAGCCCTTCCCTGAATCAGTTATTACTGTGGTTGTCAAATCATGTTTTTTAAAAAAATTCTGTAATCTTTCTAAATGTATTGTTGGTTTTCTACTGTAAGGAAGAACACTTGTTTATATTATTGACATCGGCATAGAATCTTGGTTTTCTAGTTTTCTGTTTGTTTTTGAGACAGGGTCTCACTCTGTTGTCTAGGCTGGAGAGCAGTGGCATGATCACAGATCACTGCAACCTTGACTCCAGGGCTGAAGTCATCCTCCCACCTCAGCCTCCCAAGTAGCTGGGACCACAGGCATATGCCACCATGCCCAGGTAATTTTTTTTTTTTTTTTGTAGAGACGGGGCCTCCCTATGTTGTCCAGGCTGGTCTCAAGCTCCTGGGCTCAAACAGACTTCCCGCCTCAGCCTCCCAATGTGCTGAGATTTACAGGCTTGAGTCACCATGCCCAGCCCGGGTTTCTAGTTTTTATAATAGGTTATAATCTTTTACTTGACGCTGTTAATGGATACTATTTTTACATTCCAGGTATGGGACCTGGGGACACATGTGTCCCATTTCTATGATATTAACACAATGCTCATTCTAGGGGCAACACTCAGAACACTGTTTTCTATTGTCTTCTAAGACTGTCCCTGACCTCAAATCTCTCAGTGAACTGAGGGTATCCATACTTATCATGATATTTAGGTTGCCCTAGATTTGGTGAGTGGGAGCCCTTTAAGTTGGTTCTTGTGTCCTTTTGACATGCTGTCATTATTCTTTGAGTAGTTTGTTACTTTTCAACATGAGATATGTCAGACTCATCTTGTGTATTCCCTGTCCAAGCCTTGGAATCATCCATTTTTCCAAGGAGACCAGGGTTCCTTCTAGCAGAAAATGATATGGAGAAATCAAGATGTGGGCACTAGGGTGTTTATTGTTACTGGGGTGATATTGTTTCTATATCCTCTTAAAAGACAGAGTTGGGAAATGGATACATGTATATACATGCACACATATTCATATGTGCATATACACATATCCTTGAGCATCTCTATCTATTTCTATGCCTACCTGTGTACATATATCAAATCCCATGCACTCATTTTGATATCTAGCAGACATATTTTAAAAACCATCACCTCTGGTTCAAATCTTGATTCTCTAATGTTCTAGTTCATGAGAACTGGAAGTCAAAGAGATTAAGTTACCTTCCTAGGTTTAAAAAATATTAAAAAGGGAATAATTAGTTGCTTACCTTGTAGTTTATTGTCAGAGTTATGTGCTATGATGCATGTGGAATGTGTAAGGGTGTTACACAATGAGAATTTAAAAATGGTCTTCTTGTGACTGTGCCCTTAAGAGCTGAGAGTACAGGGCAGAACCTTCCTGTTTCTATGTAGTGGTTCCATGCTCCATTTCACAGACTGTGAGAAGCTACTAGGGATCAAGAATTCAAGAGTCAATATGCAGGAGAGGGATAGAGTAGCTGAAGAGCAAACTAGACTTGCCTACACCTAGAATAGGAAGAAATAGGACAAGATGTCAAGCTTGATAGGAGGAAGTTGTTGATATGAGGGGAGAGTTAATCAGAGAATGTTGAGCCCATGTGGAACCCCCTGGACCTCTAGGCCAATTTGGGGGAAGGGCTTAAAGGGAATATGAGTACCCCTACTCACAAGAGCAGTCAGAGCCATCAGACTTTTGCTTTGACACTGTTAATGAAGTACCATTTTGATATTCCAGGTATGAGACCAGGGGATACATGTCTCCCATTTGTAGGATATTAATAATACAATGCCAGTTCCAGGGAAAACACTCAGAACTTTGATCTGATTCTCTTCTAAGATCATTGCTGTCCTAAAAACTCTTAGTGAACTATGAGTACCAGCACTCCACCAACACTGACAGAATAATGGTGACAACCAGCATTTGTTGACTATCTATTGGGCAAGGTGCTTTGTATACATCTTCTCATGGAATCACTGCAATATTCTTGTGACATAGGCACCATTGTCCTCATTTGGAAAAGGAGGCTGAGAGAGGCTCAATAGCAAGCCAGGTTATACTTCTAGTAAGGGATAGAAGTGGGATTTGAATAGCATCTACTCCTGGAGAGCCCCCCTTTTGGGCTTTACACAACTCTTTGGAGGGACTCAGGAAGAGGAGAACTCCTTCATGTATATTGCCCATGGGTCCTCTCCAGGTGAAGTATTTTGAGGTTCTGAAACCATTATCAGACTTGGCTGTAAATTCCCTCTCCATCTTGGACCTTTTCCTGTGCTCTTCCAGTGGCCCTTTCCAATGGGTAATTAGACCTGTTGTCTACATGAGTGAGATCTGCTCAGCATGGAGAGGGCTCTATTTTTCTACACCCTTGATAATTTGTAGGTTTGGGAAAGCATGCCCAGTGTGGCTTGTCAGGGCTAACACATATGCCTTCATATGTCAACTTGGCTTCATGGGTAGGGGCTGCCTGGAGTCCTGGGATGAGAAAGACTACACAATTGCATTCCAACCAATGACATTGAGGGGACTGGCTAATAAATGATTTCTATTAGGAGCTTGGGAGGTGGGGGATGTGTGAATGTTCTAAGTACTTGCCATTCTGTGTCTCTCCACAGCCCCTAAACCTGTCTTTCCTAGAATCACTTGAAAGTTAAAATATTGATGTCTGGGGCCCACTCCAAATTAGTTAAATCTGAATTTCTAAGGAATAGGACCTAAGCTTCACTTTTTAAAAAAAATTGAATGTGTTAGAATGTATATAGCCACAATTGAAAAACACCATTGGTCTACACTATCATTAGGCATGTTTGAAAATTATCTGCCTTGATCCTGCCCTGATCTTGCCTTTGCTACAATATTAAATGGCTCTTATTAACAATGAATATATCTAATTATTCTCTAGATCTTTTATTAGCTTGAATTATTCTTAGATATTCTGCCACATAAAAGTATTTGAATGTATAGTCTTTGTGGTTGATGGTCTAATCAGCTAAACTCAAACCTCACTGCAGCTGTGACTAGAAAGTCCTCATTGATGGAGAATCCTAGAGGTCCTTTCAGAGAAGAAAAAATAATTCAGTGGGCCAAGCTGTAATATTTTGCCTCTGATTCTCAGATTCCTTGTTGGCAAAATGGGAATGCAAAATAAATAAAGAGTCTATAGTCAGTACCTAATAAGTATTTGTTGAATGAATAAATTAGTGGAATACAAAATTAAAATACTTGTCTCATCAAACATCTAGAGAAAAAGGAGACAGATATAGAGCTAACCCATGCCTGTTATACCATTTAATGCTAGGCGTATGGAAGCAGATACTGTGTCTCTCTAGTTTCACAGGCTCTCGGAGAGAGAGGAACTGTACTCTAGGAGCTGCATGTGACTAGTCATTCTCAAGAAGTCCCCACCCCAATACCTGATTTGATGAGATTCTGAACTTTGGTTGATGCTGAAGGGGGAGGAGATTTTTAGGGATCTTGGCAGGACACACATGTATTTTGCATGGGGTGGAGGATGTGAATCACTGGGGGCTGGAGGACAGGCTTCCCTGCAGCCCCTAAGATGGCCTCCAGTGATCCATGTCTCCTGGTATTCATGCCCTTGTATAATCCTCTCCACTCCCTTATATCTTGGCTGAACCTAATGTCTTGTTCCTAACAAACACAATATGGTGAAACTGATGAACAGCACCTCTGAGAAGTTACAAGAAGAAAATGACTTCCATCCTGCTCACCCTCTCTTGCTCTCTTGCTTTCTTGTTCTGATGGAAGCCAGCAGCCATGTTGTGGGTGTTCTATGAAGAGGCCCAGTAGCAAGAAACCAGAGGCTGGGGGAGTGTCTGACCAAGAGTCAGCCAAAACCTGAACCTGCTAATAATCACATGAGTGAGCTTGGAAAGGAAGCATCCCTCAGTTGAGCCTTCAGATGAGACCATAGCCTTATATTACTCCTTGATTGCAGCCTTTGGGAGACTGTGAGCCAGAAGACCCAGCGAAGCTTTGCCTGGGCTCCTGACTCATAGAAACTATCAGAAAAACACTTGCTGTTTTAAGCTGCTAAGTTCTGGGTTAATTTGTTATTTAGCAATAGATAACTAATATAGAAGAAAAGGGAGAGAACATTTATTGAATCCTTTGCTATGCCCCAGGTACTTTGTAAACCTTTTTCCATTTCATCCTTAAGTCAACCTGGATGAAAATATTCAGGTTCAGAGATGCTGGGTGAGTGCCAGGGGCAGGATATGAATCACTACTGTTTGATTTGAAAGCCTGTGCTCATTTCTCTATTCCAGGATGCAAACCAGGAGACGTTTTCTATTCTATGTTTCTTTTTTCTTTTCTTTTCTTTTCTTTTTTTGTGGCAGGGGGACAGGGTCCTGCTCTGTCATCCAGGCTAGAGTGAAGTGGAGCAATCATGGTTCACTGCAGTCTGAAACTCTTGGGCTCTGGTGATCCTCCTGCTACAGCCTCCCAAGTAGCTGGGATTATAGGCATGCACCACCACACCTGGATAGTTTTTTTTTTTTTTAATTTTTATTAGAGACTAGGTCGCACTACGTCACCCAGGTTGGTCTCAAACTCCTGAGCTCAAGGGCTTCTTCTGCCTCAGCCCCTACAAAGTGCTAGGATTACAGGTAGGAGCCATTGTGTCCGGCCACATTTTCTCTGTTCGTAAAGTCAGCAGTAGAATAGCTAACATTGTTGCTAAACAGTTTGTATAAAATGAGTAATTATTAGTGCCCCTGCATGCAGCCACCTGCTGTTGCTGACCTTCTGTGCCTCTGCAGCCAAACATACATCAGGTACTTATGTATACACACTCCACAGGCACACAGATGCCTCCACAATACACATGTGCCCAAGATGCAATTGCAAGCACACAAGTGCACAAATAAGTACACACATGTGTCTTCACAAAGAACTATCTCCACCTTCATTTTCTCCCATCCAAGTACTAATCAGGTCTGACCCTTTTTAGCTTCCAAGATCAGATGAGATTGGGCATGTTCAGGGTATATGGCTGTAGCCTACATCCTCTTTTTTTTTTTTTTTTTTTTTTTTTGAGATGGAATTTCGCTCTTGTTGCCCAGGCTGGAATGCAATGGTGCTATCTCGGCTCACAGCAACCTCTGCCTCCCGGGTTCAAGCCATTCTCCTGCCTCAGCCTCCGGAGTAGCTGGGATTACAGGCATGCACTACCACGCCTGGCTAATTTTGTATTTTTAGTAGAGATGGGGTTTCTCCATGTTGGTCATTTTTAAATGAAAGACCCTTTGAGACAGTTCATACCTAAATATGTAAATAGTGCACAAGATTTTGCAGCCTGAACAGAAATGGCCACTATAGTTTTTTCTCTTTAGCAATTTTCTGTGTGCTGTAAACAAATTTGAAATCTGGCTAGAGACTTCGGAAATCATGTTGACCACTCCCCATATTGTGCAGATGCAGAAATTGAGGCCCTGAAGGACTTGCCCAAGTACCCCAGCAAAGTGGTGTGAACTGAAGTCCAGGTCTCCCAACTCCCAGTTGACTGTCCTTGCTGTGACACTGTGCACCGTCGGTGGGGAGAACACTCCTGGTCCTTAGGAATCCATTTCTAAAGGACATCAGGAGCACAAACAAGTTCATGCCCTATTGTTCTTTCCACGTAAAAGAAGTTGATGACATTTATGCTTTTCTCACAATACACCATTAAGATAGAACATTGTTGAATTATTTGTGGATTAAATACAGATGTGCAGGGATTTTAGGGCCCTGATTGATTTTCTGTTGAAAGAAGCGAAAGGAATGTTAATTTACAACTGGCAAATGTTAGCTCTTAGGAGGAGGCAAAACAGCATTTGGAAGGCCTGTTTTTTGTTTGGTTTTGGTATTTCATGAAAGAGATTTTTCTGTGCAAAGTGGCAGGAAGCCATTTTCAACAAGAGCTAAAGGGAATGAAGATTTAAAAAATGGACCAAAAACAAACTCAAAGGTGCCAGGCCTTTGTTACTGCAAGCCCCTCTTGCAGGATGAGAGGCTGCTAAAACAAAATCAATAATTTAAGCAACTTTCTGTCCCTCTCTCCCCTGCTATTCTGGTAAAATGATTTGACATTTCAGACAACAAGGAATGAACATCAGACCAGGAAGAAAAGGGCTTGGTTATGAGTCCCAGTTGTGTGATTTTAAGTACATGATTAAACGTTTATTAATTTGGTTCTCTCATCTCTAATAATGAAACCATCACTCTTACATCTTGAGTGTAAAAAATGCTCATTTACTAGAACTCACCCTGTATCAGATGCCACATTAGGATTTGTGCGGAGTGATCTCATTAATTCCTTTTTTTTTTTTTGAGATGGAATTTCACTCTTGTCACCCAGGCTGGAGTGCAGTGGTGCAATCTTGGCTCACTGCAACCTCTCTCTGCCACCCGGTTTTGGTTTCAAGCGATTCTCCTGCCTCAGCCTCCCGAGTAGCTGGGATTACAGGCACCCACCACCATGCCCGGCTAATTTTTTGTATTATTAGTAGAGACGGGGTTTCACCATGTTGGTCAGGCTGGTCTCGAACTCCTGACTTCAGGTGATCCACCCACCTCGGCCTCAAGTGCTAGGATTGCAGGTGGGAGCCACCATGCCCAGCCTCGTTAATTCTTTATAGCAGCCTTGTGAGGAGGTCTGTTCATTCTCACTGTACAGCTAAAGGTGCTGAGGCTCAGAAAACTCAAGCTTGTCGCTCAGGGTCACACAGCTAAGAAGTGACAAGGTGGAGATTTAAACCTATGCTTGTCTGGCTAGGCACTGTCTTATATAGTAAGAGTGTGGGGATGACAGATTGCAAAACAAAGCAAAATAAAACTCACAAGCTCTGAAGATGTAGTGACTGCCTACTCTGCCCCTGTGCTAGCGACCCAGAGTTAAAGATGGGTTCTCATCATGGTCTCTGCTTCTGTGGATCCCTCAGTGGCTTGAGAGGAAAGCAAACCTGGTGGTGGCAACGAGGGCATCTAATATTTTGGATTCCATTTTGGACTCATGTTTAAAGTGCATATGGGCTATACAGGTGGGTGTATGAGCCGAGGACAAGAGCAGAGGTCTGGGTTTGGGACCAACATCACCAAAGATGATAGCCAACACTGAGTGACTGCTGAATTTGTGCTGGGCACTGTGCCAAAGAGTTCTCAGGCATTAACCCATTCTTTTTTTTTTTTTTTTGGCAGAGACAAAGTCTCACTCTGTCACCCAGGCTGGAGTGCAGTGGTGCGATCTTGGCTCACTGCAACCTCCGTCTCCCAGGTTCAAGCAATTCTCCTGCCTCAGCCTCCCAAGTAGCTGGGCCTACAGGCATGCACCACCACACTCAGCTAGTATTTTTGTATTTTAGTATAGACGGGGTTTCACCATGTTGGCCAGGGTGTCTTGATCTCTTGACCTCATGATACGCCTGCTTCGGCCTCCTAAAGTGCTGGGATTACAGGCATGAGCCACTGTGCCTGGCTGCATTAACCCATTCTATCCTCAGACTGATGCTGTGAGGCTGCTGTCCTTACCCTGCTGTACAGAGCAGTGAGAAAACTTGCTTGTAGGTGAAAGTTAAAACTTCAAGGAGGATTCTTCTTGAAAGCCATCCCAAGGTTTTTCTATTTGGTGATTCATGATCAATCTTATGCCCCAAGTCCCCACATTCCCTCTGTTTTGAGTCACTCTGTCTCGTAAGAGCCCCTGGTGCCTTTATTTTGCTTCATTTGAATTCTGGATTCAGCATGCATCAGAAATGTTCTCCCTGAGAGCTGGAAAGCATTTTTGTGATGGCTGGGCTGCAGGGCCATTAAGAAAATACCTTTGCACACCAACAAAAAAGACTAAAGCCTTAATTGCTGATCCAAAAGGTAACAGGAAAGGATGCACCACTGCATATATGGTGAGGGATGCATTGCCTTGGTCAGGGCACAGGTCCTCTGTCCCTGAGTCCTGTTTCCTTGTGTGGGTAGAGGGCATTTTCACACTCTCTGTCCCCAAAAGACCTCAGGGGGAACCAAAGAGCAGCATGAGCAGGGGGCCATGGTCATGGGCATTGACTGGGTGCTTGCTGCATGCAAAGGCTCTGTGTTAAGCACCTTGGGAACACTAACTCATTTACTGTCCCAACAAATCCAGGATGTAGGTACAAGTAATAGTCCCACTTTACAGGTGACAAAAATGAGGAATAGAGAGGTTTGGTGATTTGCTCAAGATCACACAGTATGTGTGGCACAGCTGAGATTCTGACCCACAGGTGAGACTCTTGAGCTTATTCTTCTCACTGAACCCCCTGCCTCTCATGGTTATGTGGCTCATGCTCCCATAGCCTTAAGTCCTGAGGCTAAGGAAGGGTCCTCAGATAAAAGACGTCAATTTCTGTGTCTTTTTTGAGCAGGCTTCATGAACATCAACACTCATTTGAGGTTACTGAGAGCATTTGCCTGGCCTTAACATTGTCATTCCAAAGCTGTTTGCCAATTCATTCCCATCTTCACAGCCCTGTCTTTCTCCAGCAGGCTTGGTCTGTGGTTCTAATGAACACAGGAGGCTTGGTTCATTCGGATGCAGGAAGTGAGGAGGAATAACATGAAGGGGATTGACCAGATGCCTCAATTCTAATCAGCTGAATGGAGATACTTATGATACCTCCTTATGCAGTGCTGTAAGGATTAGATGGGATTCTTTATATAAAGGACTTAGAACAATACCTGGCATGTTGTTAGTACTCAATTAACTTTATACAATATATTAGTCAGGCTTTGTTGTGATGATGTCACATAAAAAGTAATCCCCAAATCTCAATGCTAACAACAACAAACATTTACTTCTCATTTCCATAGGTCAGCTGTGGTTCTACAGGGCTCTTCTGGGCTGGCTAGATTCAGATGGGCCTGGATCTGGGTGGTGAATTGGGTTCCTATTTGCTTCACTTGGCTCTCAGAAGAGGATCCAGGAGAGTAGCAGCAGCTATCTGAAGCATGTTCATCTCATGCTGGAGGACAGGATCACCAGAGGCCATGCAGGAATATTTAACGCCTCTGCTTGGATGTGGCATTCACTGAGTCACTCACATTCCATTAGCTGAAGCAAGTCACATGGCTAAGCCCAATGTCAGTGGGGTGGGGAAGTACACCACTTCCAATGAAAGGAGGGAAAACAGATGTTTGCTGAACAATAATACAATACTATGATCTATCACAATACTATGATCTACCATTATACTATGATCTACCATTAACATTTCTTGAATGCCTAATAGCTCTCAGGAAGTGTTCCAAGAATCATGGATTCTAGAGATGAATCACATAGCAGCTCTGCTGTCTGCTCTCAAGGGTGCCCTCACTACAGAGTGTGGTCACTGCAATGACAAAGGTGGCCCCAGGACAACTTAACCTCTCCTGAACTATTTTAATTCTCACAATTTCCTTGTAACCCCAGTATCACTATCCCTATTTTATAGACAAATAAACTGGGACTCAGAGAGGTTCAGTAATTTTCTTTTGTCCCCATGGCTAGAAAATGGCTAAGCCTAGTACCAAATCCTTGTGTGATTGTTCCAGGGTTCTGTTCTTTGCATGACAACTCTGGACTGAAGTATGTAGGCAGAGACATTAGAATTGAGACAGAGACTGACCAAAACTCTCATATCTTGGCAGGAGCCCAAGTCTGCATATGTATGAACCTCATCCATATATATGCAAGCTGTGGCTGAGACATCTGTAACCTAGACTTTCATAGCTGGGCTACTAACTTCAATCATCTGAAGGAAGATTCAAGTTATAAACTGCCACCAATTCAGTTAATTATCCATAAACTTGTTTCTATATTGCCCTATGATGCTCAGTTCAAGCCCAAGTCAAATGCTCCCTCCTGAAAACTTCTCTGATTCCCTAGCCACCAGTTTCTGCCTGTGTTGCCTGTCCACAGCACCAAACACTTAAGACACTTTCTCCATGATCCTACAATTTTTTTTTAATTTTTTTGAAACAGGGTCTCACTCTGTCACCCCGGCTAGAGTGCAGTGGTGCACATGATCCTACAACCTTGATGTATATATTTTAGGCAATCACTGCTCACAGAAAGCCCATATTCTCCTATTCCACCTCCACAGTCCCCAGAGTTCCAGCCCAGTGCTTGGCATTCAGCAGGGGCTAGATGAAAGTGTGTGGAATGAGTGAATGAACGACGGATGGATAGAGGCTGCTGGGTCCTTAGGAAAGAGAGCAGATGAGATTTATTTTTTATTTTTGTCCATATCTCCTCTTTGGTCCTTTGGAGGGATTTTAGTCAGGATGGGTCTGGTGCAACCAGGTGATCCAAGGGTTATAGGCACAGAGGGAAGTAACTGGAGCTCCCTTTGGGTACCACAGTAAACACTGGTGGTGGAATGCCATTGTCTTATCTTCTGAGAAGTAGCAGGAGGCTTCCATATTCTTGTGTTTCGTCAACTGGCTCTAATCATTAAGCTAAATACTCAGCTTATGCAATGCATTTAGCCCAGCTGATTTAGAAGTGGCACCTTCCCAATCAGTCTAGAGCATTTGGGTGGTCACTGTATTCCAACATTCACTACAATTAGGGACTGCCAGAAAAGCCTGATTGTCTTCACTGGTTATTTATAACCAAATCATAGTAGCAATCATTATGTAAAAAGAGCTGTTTCTCCACGCCCCCAACTTCTCTGCCTCGCCCACTCCCAATGTCAGTCCTTCCATTTTATTTAATGCTTCTGGCTGCAGTGATTAGATGTAATGAGAGTGATAGGGCTTTGAGTTGGAAAGTGCTAGAGGCAAAGGAGTTTTGTTATTCTCATCCTTAGAGACACAGAATTCAAGAGGTAAAGGGGACTTAGAGATTTCTAGTCCAGCAGTCCCATGCTATAGATGGGAAAACTTGAGGATCAAAGTTAGGTAGCTTCATGAAAAGGGTATAAATGTGGAAATCCAAGACTCCAGTTCTAACTGAGGCTTAATCACAGATAACGTGTGTGATCTTGAGCTACTTGCTTAGTGTCTCTGGGTCTGAGTTTTCCTTTCTAGAAGATGGGGAAACTAATACGTATTCTGGAGTGATTAGAGATAAGGTGTAGAAGTAGCCAGGTGTATGGCAGCTGGTACAATGGATGCCATAGTAAAGGAGTTGGTGCCAGCATCACTGCATCACTGCTCTCTTCCCATCACTCCACATTGCCTTCAACTAGCTGAGTGCTCCTGCTGAAGAACCGACTCCTATGTTCCCTGGCTCTCAACATGACTCAGTTTGACTTTTCATAAGTGCAGGTAAGCAAGATAAAATGGGAGTTCTTTTTCCTCTCTACAGACGGCAAATACCAGCAGGAGACCAGCCAAGTAGAGCTGGGGGAAGTCTTGAGACTCACCCTATGGTCTCCATGACCTTTGTCTTAGTTCCTTTGAGCCGCTAAAACAAAATACCTTAGATTGGGTAATTTATAAACAACAGAAGTTTATTTATTTATTTTTTTTTTGCAGTTTCAGAGGCTGGGAAGTCTAAGATCAAGGCATCTGCAGATTCAGTGTCTTGGTGAGGGCTTGCTCTCTGCTTTAAGATGGTACCTTCTTGCTATGTCCTCATGTGGTGGAAGGGGTCATTTGTTCATCTTCATTTCTTTTATAAGGTCATTAATCCCATTCAGAAGGGCTCTGTCCAAATGCCTTAATCAGCTCCTAAATGCCCCACCTCTTAAAACTATCACCTTGATTAAGTTTCCACATATGAAATTTGGAGAGACACAGACATTCAGACCATGGTAGTCCCCATCCTCTGATGTGGACCAGCAGCACACTCACAGTCTTACATAAATGACTCTGCAAGTGCAGCTTTCTGAGCTTCATTCCAATTGTCCCTCTCCCCACCTCCATAGCAGTTTTGGTGAAGCCCTATGTAATTTCATGATCTACAGGTAGATTTGATAGATGGTGTTATGGTACCAGGAGTGGGGAGCAGCCAAAACACAAACCCTAAAATATGTGGCTCTAGGGCCAGATGGCAGTCAGCAAGAGAACCGTTACTGAGGGTTGGAAAGATGGTAATCTATGTTATGCAGTGGTGAAATATTTGGTAAAGCTGTTGTAGGAATAACTTGAAGGGCGGATGATGTGCTGAAGGAACTTGAAGCTTAAGGTGAAAAGATGGGGAAACTGAACGTTAGTAACATCCCTTGGTCACTACTGTAAGAAAGAGATGAGCTCAGAAAAGAATTGGCTAAATTGTAAGCAGGTATAAAAAGAAGTAGAGAGGGTCCAGGACTTCTGGAGTCCCATTTCTCCCAGGAAGGGGCCTGCCTCAGTATCCCTGCCAAGCTCAGTTACTGGCTGGGAGCTGCTTGTGGGAATCACTTCCCTCTGAGTGTGACTCAGTCATACTCTAAAGTATGACATGACTCTTCCTTGCAGAGATCTGGACATATACAGTGTCCAGTCACACGGACAGATGCAGCTTCTGTGGTCACTCTAGATGATGCTAACTTCCTTATGCTGGCATGCTATCCTCATAATGCAGGCTGCAGTTAACTATTTTAAAAGTTAACATGGTAAGCAGAAGTGATTCCTCTTTGGCTTGAACATGGACTGTTTGGAGGGCACTGGAGAGAACCAAAAGAGTGACAAGTTTTGAGTGCTTGTCATGTAAGAAACAGGAAAGAAAATGCGGCATAATTACCTGTCTCTGGGGAGAGGAGCAGGATTGCTTTTGTTCCTCCAAGTAGGCAGAAACAGAAACACTGGGCAGCTGGTACAGAGAGACGGGTTTTGAGAGGCAGTACTCTCCCAGCAGCACTGTCTAGCCAGCTGTCTGCCCGAGTCTGGGGGTGCTAGTGCCTTCTGCAGGATTACCCTATAGGAGGCATTTCCAGGGTGCTGATGTGGACTCATGCCAGAGGTGACAGTGTCAGCCATCCATGGTGGAAACACAAAAATAAGGACACTTAATGAGCTTGGCCCAAGCTATTACATTTTCATCTCTGAGGTTATATTTCCCACACCTTTACCGTTGAATGTCCTTTTATCACAATAGTAGTCATTGTTTAAGTGATATCTCTATGTTAAACCTTACATTTTTTTCTTTTTAATTTTATTGATTTGTGAAATCCTAAAGTCTTGAAACTCCTAAGCTAGCTGACTTTTCAGATCTGGGATCTCTTTTATCTCTAAATGATTATGATTCCTGACTTTTTTTTGATATAAACACTCAACTGCCATTTAGAGTGCTCATGATAGGGAATAGATGCTGCATTTGTTCATGTTGAAATACTGAGGCTCAAGTACCTGTCAGAAGGAGTTTATTATATTTTCTAGGCTCTCTGAAATTACATCAGAAAAATGTGAATTAGAATATAACCCATAAATAATATCTGGCCACATGCAAAGTAATTGAAGATCAATTGAAATAGCTATTGGATTAAGAAATAGAGACTGAGGTAAATTTACAGGGTCAGGGAGGATCTAAGGAGGAAGCATTGACACTGGAGCCCAGGGACCTGGGATTACAGAACAGATTCTACCAGTGCTAACTTACTGCTCCAGAGAAAATATCAATTCTGCTCATCCGCAGGTACTATTCATCAAGAAAGGGATTACAAGTTCACAAATGTGTTCAAAATGTACCCATACTTCGACATATTAATGAAGTAATCACATTCTACACATAACTACTCCATATGGAATACTGGGGTGGGGGTGTTCCAAATAAAGAGACTGAGGATTTCTCATGAGAACTCAGTGTCTGCTAGAAAATATCTAAGTAAAATATTTTACTTATGTGGAAGGTGTGGATGTTTGTGCATCACAAGTTTCAAGAATCCCTAAAATGTACAATGGAGATGAGGAGAAAATATCAGAATTTCCCAGCACCAGAAATGAGGCAAGAAAAAATTCAGAGGAGCTGTAAATGTGAAAAGCCAATGGCTGGTCACGCAGCAACATTGATAACCTTGTGCCAGGACAACTAGAATAAATACATAAACATACAGATTGAAAGTATTTCCAATATTAGATCTCTCTCATGTGAGAACTAAATTATAAAGATTGAAGCATATAAGAAAATAAGCTACCAGAATTTAGGCTACCAGAATAAATTCGATTACACATAAATTTCTGATATTGAAATTCTCACAAATGTTTAAGTTGGTAGTGGAAGACAAAGGACATATAATCTTGGGAGTCCTAGGGCCCTGCCCGCTGCCAGTTCCTCCATGCTACTACAGCTGATGCTTTCTGGAAAGCAACACCTCCTGGCAGGAGGCCAACCAGCACAAATATAGAGCATTAAACCACTAAAGCTAAGGACCCTCACAGAGTCTATTGCACCCTTCACCACCTCCACTGGAACAGGCGCTGGTATCCATGGCTGAGAGACCCATAGATGGTTCACATCACAGGGCTCTATGCAGACAACCCCTAGTACCAGCCCAAAGCCAGGTAGACCTGCTGGGTGGCTAGACCCAGAGGAGAGACAACAATCAATGCACTTTGGCTCACAGGAAGCCATGCCCATAGGAAAAGTGGGAGAGTACTACATCAAGGGAACACTCCGTGCGACAAAAGAGTCTGAACAACAGTCTTCAGCCCTAGAACTTTCCTCTGACAGAGTCTACCTAAATGAGAAGGAACCAGGAGACCAACCCTGGTAATCTGACAAAACAAGACTCTTCAACAACCCCCAAATAATCACACCAGTTCATCACCAATGGATCCAAACAAAGAAGGAATCACTGATTTATCTGAAAAAGAATTCAGGTTAGTTATTAAGCTAATCAGGGAGGGGCCAGAGAAAGGTGAAGCCCAATGCAAGAAAATCCAAAAAATGATACAATAAGCAAAGGGAGAAACAGTCAAGGAAATAGCTTAAATAAATAATAATAATAATAATAAAAAATCAGGAAACTTTGGACGCATTTTTAGAAATGTGAAATTCTCTGGAAAGTCTCAGCAATAGAATTGAACAAGTAGAAGAAAGAAATTCAGAATTCGAAGACAAGGTCTTTGATTTAACCCAATCCAATAAAGACAAAGAAAAAAGAACAAGAAAATATGAGCAAAGCCTCCAAGGAGTCTGGCATTCTGTTAAACAATGAAACCTAAGATTAATTGGTGTACCTGAGGAAGAAGTGAATTCTAAAAGCCAGGAAAATGTATTTGGGGGAATAATCAAGGAAAACTTCCGTGGCCTTGTGAGAGACCTAGACATCCAAATACAAGGAGCACAAATAACACCTGGGAAATTCACCACAAAAAGATCTTAGCCTAGGCACATTGTCATTAGGTTATCCAAAGTTAAGACAAAGGAAATAATCTTAAGGGCTGTGAGACAGAAGCACTAGGTAACCTATAAAGGAAAACCTATCAAACTAACAGCAGATTTTGCAGCAGAAACCTTACAAGCTAAATGGAATTGGGGCACTTTCTTCAGCCTCCTCAAACAAAACAATTATCAGCCAAGAATTTTGTATCCAGCAAAACTAAACATCATATATGAAGGAAAGATACAGTCATATTCAGACAAACAAATGCTGACAGAATTTGCCATTACCAAACCAGCACTGTAAGAACTGCTAAAAGGAGCTCTAAATCATGAAACAAATTCTGGAAACACATCAAAACAGAACTTCACTAAAGCATAAATCACACAAGAGCTATAAAACAAAAATACAAGTTAAAAAGCAAAAACAAAAAAAAAACAAAGTATAGAGGCAACAAAGAGCATGATGAAAGCAATGGTACCTCACTTTTTAATACTAATGTTGGTTGTAAATGGCTTAAATGCTCCACTGACAAGATACAGAACCACAGAATGGATAAGAACTCACCAACTAACTATCTGCTGCCTTCAGGAGACTCACCTAACACATAATGACTTACATAAACTTAAGGAAAGTGGTAGAAACAGGCATTTCATGCAAATGGACACCAAAAGCGAGCAGCAGTAGCTATTCTCATATGAGACAAAACAAACTTTAAAGCAACAGTAGCTAAAAGAGACAAAGACAGACAGTATATAATGGTAAAGGTCTCATCCAACAGAAAAATATGACAATCCTAAACATACATGAACCTAACACTGGAGCTCCCAAATTTATAAAACCATTACTAGTAGACATAAGAAATGAGATAGACAGCAACACAATAATAGTGGGGGACTTCAATACTCCACTGACAGCACTAGACAGGTCATCAAGACAGAAAGTCAACAAAGAAACACTGGATTTAAACTATACTTTGGAACTAATGGACTTAACAGATATACACAGAACATTTCATCAACAATCACAGAATACACATTCTATTCCACAGCACATGGAATTTTCTCCAAGATAGACCATATGATAGGCCATAAAACGAGTCTCAATAAATTTAAGAAAATTGAAATTGTATCATGCACTCTCTCAGATCACAGTGGAATAAAACTGAAAATCAACTCCAAAAGGAATCTTCAAAACCATGCAAATACATGGAAATTAAATAACCTGCTCCTGAATGAGCATTGGGTGAAAAATGAAATCAAGATGGAAATGTAAAAAATTTCTTCGAACTGGATGACACAACCTACCCAGACCTCTGGGAGACAGCAAAGGCAGTGCGAAGAGGAAAGTTTGTAGCCCTAAACACCTATGTCAAAAAGTCTGAAAGAGCACAAACAGACAATCTAAGTTCACATCTCAGGGAACTAGAGAAGCAGGAACAAGCCAAACCCAATCCCAGCAAACAAAGGAAATAACCAAGATCAGAGCAGAACTAAATGAAATTGACACAACAACAACAACAACAAATACAAAACATAAATAAAACAAAAAGTTGGTTATTTGAAAAGATAAATAAAACTGATAGACCATTAGCAAGATTAACCAAGAAAAGAAGAGAGAAAATCCAAATAACCTCACTAAGAAATGAAACAGCGGATATTACAACTGACACTACTGAAATATTAAAGATTATTCAAGGGTACTATGAACACCTTTTGGCACATAAACTAGAAAACCTAGGAGAGTTGGATAAATTCCTGGAAAAATACAACCCTCCTAGCTTAATCAGGAAGAAGTAGATACCTCAAGCAGACCAATAAAGCAAGCAGCAAGATCGAAATTGTAATTTTAAAATTACCAACAAAAAAAACCGAGGACCAGACAGATTCACAGCAGAATTCTACCAGACATTCAAAGAATGTCTTCTTTCATTCAAAGAAGAAATGACACCAATCCTTTCACACTATTCCACAAGACAGAGAAACAAGAAAGCCTCCCTGATTCATTCTATGAAGCCAGCATCACCCTAATACCAAAACCATGAAAGGACATAACCAAAAAAGAAATCTACAGACCAATATCCTTGATGATCACAGATGCCAAAATCCTTAACAAAATACTATCTAACTGAATCCAACAACATATCAAAAAGATAATCCACCATGATCAAGTGGGTTTCATACCAGTGATACAGGAATGGTTTAACATATGCAAGTCAATAAATGTGATATACCAAATAAACAGAATTAAAAAAAACTCAAATGATTATATCAACAGATGCAGAAAAAGCATTCGACAAAATCTAGCATTGCTTTATGATTAAAGCTCTCAGCAAAATAGGCATACAAGGGACATACCTTAATGTAATAAAACCCGTCTATGACAAACCCACAGCCAACATAATACTGAATGGGGAAAAGGTGAAAGCATTCTCTCTGAGAACTAGAACAAGATGAGGAGCCTACTCTCACCAGTCCTCTTCAACATAGTACTGGAAGTGCTTGCCAGAACAATCAGACAAAAGAAGGAAACAGAGGAAATCCAAATCGGTAAAAAGGAAGTCAAACTATCACTGGTTGCCGACGATAAGATCTTTCACCTTGAAAACCCTATGGACTCCTCTAGAAAGCTTCTAGAACTGATAAAAGAATTCAGCCAAGTTTCCAGATACAAGATTAATGTACACAAATCAGTAGCTCTTCTATACATCAGCAGCTACCAAGCAGAGAATCACATCAAGAACTCAACCCCTTTTACAATAGCTGCAAAAAAAAAAAAAAAAAAAAAAAAAAACTTAGGAATATACCTAGCAAAGGAATCAAAAGACCTCTACGATGAAAATTACAAAACACTGCTGAAAGAAATCATAGTTGGAGCCAAGCATGTTGGCACATGCCTATAATCCCAGCTACTCGGGAAGCTGAGGCAGGAGAATCGCTTGAACCTGGGAGGCAGAAGTTGTAGTGAGCCGAGATCACACCATTGCACTCCCACCTCAGCGACAAGAGCGAAACTCCCTCTGAAGAAAAAAAAAAAAGAAAGAAAGAAAAGAAATCATAGATGACACAAACAGATGGAAACGCATCCCCATGCTCGTGGATGGGTAGAACCAATATTGTGAAAATTACCATTCTGTTAAAGGCAATCTACAAATTCAATGCAATCCCCATCTGAATACCACCATCATTCTTCACAGAATTACAAAAACAATTCTAAAATTAATATGGAACCAAAAGAGAGCCATGTAGCCCAACCAAGGCTAAGCAAAAAGAACAAACCTAGAGGCATCACAGTACTTGATTTCAAACTGTACAATAAGGCCATAGTTACCAAAACAGCATGGTACTGGTTTAAAAATACGCACATAGACTAATGTAACAGAAGAGAGAACCCATAAATTAACCCAAATACTTACAGCCAACTGATCTTCGACAAAGTAAGCAAAAAATAAAGTGGGGAAAGGACACCCTTTTCAACACATGATGTTGGGATAATTGGCGAGCCACATGTAGGGGAATAAAACTGGATTCTCATCTCTCACCTTATACAAAAATCTACTCAAGATGGATTAAAAACTTAAACCTAATTCCTGAACTATAAAAATTCTAGAAGATAACACTGGATAAACTCTTCTAGACATTGGCATAGGCAAGGATTTCATGACCAAGAACCCAAATGCAAATGCAATAAAAACAAAGATAAATAGCTGGGACTTAATTAAACTAAAGAGCTTTTGCATGGCAAAGGGAACAGTCAGTAGAGTAAATAGCCAACAGAGTGGGACCCCTGACCCTGACCCCTAACCTTAACCCTAATCCCTAACCCTAACCCCTAACCACAACTCTCACCCTCCCCCTAACCCAACCCTAACCCCTAATCCCTAACCCCCAACCTCTCTTAACCCCTAACTCTAAATGTTGACTCCTAACCCCTAACTCTGACCCCAACCACTATCTCCAACCCCTAACCCTAAACTTAACCCCTAACACCAACCTTAACCCTAGGTTCGTTACTACGTTTGTATTGACTATGTCAATGTTGATTATTATGATCGCTGTCTTAGGACTGCACGGCAGCGAGGGGATTGTGGATCTTATATTAATGTTTTTGTGTCGAGGCAGTGCATTAGCACTACAGGTGCTTGTTACATGAGCAAGGGGGGTGTCATATTTTGAGTGTCATGTCTGCATTAGGAATGCTGCATTTGTCTTCCGAGGCTGCGGTGTGGATCTCGCACTGTGGCCGCCTCACCTTGGCTGGGGAGAACCTCGGTGGGCAGGATTCAGAGGGGCTTTTGGTTTCCTGTTTTCCACACTGAACCCTTCTAACTGGTCTCTGACCCTGATTATTCAGGGCTGCAAACAGGAAGGATTTTATTCACCGTCGATGCGGCCCCGAGTTGTCCCAAAGCGAGGCAGTGCCCCCAAGGTCCGTGCTGAGGAGAACGCTGCTCTGCCTTCACGTTGTCCCCCTGGTCTGTGCTGAGCAGAACGCAGCTCCGCCCTCGCGGTGCCCCTGGCCCGCCCGGGTCTGTGCCAAGGAGAACACTGCTCCGCCCTCGCGATGCTCTCCGAGTCTGTGCTGAGCACAACGCAGCTCCGCCCTCGCAAAGGCACAGCGCGGGCGCAGGCGCGGGGCGGTGCACAGCGCGGGCGCAGGCGCCGAGAGGCGCACGGGAGACCTCAGGCCCAGACTCCACTCCCCAGCTGTGAAAGGGTAAGAATTGAGGGTGGCTGAGGCTCGGGGTTGTTCAGGGCGGGGTGGGCTCTGGACCCAGCAGGCCCGGCACCCAGGTCAGGGATCCAGGGGAGGCCAGGTGGGGCGAAGGCCAAGAAGGGGCCGGGGCTGGTCAGGAAGGGCTCCTGGTGACCAGAGCACTTTGCGTGAGCCAGCGTGGGAGGAAGGTGGGCTGGATGAGCCAGGGAGGCGCCGGGAGGGGCCTTGGCAGAGGCGACCCCCTCTGTCAGCCCCCAGGCCACTGAACCCTGGGTAGCAAGAACCGGCAGGGGAGGCTGCAGACGGAGGAGTGGAGGCTCCTTGGCTTTGGGGGCTCTGAGTAGAAGCATCTAGGGGGTCCCTCAAGAGGCCCCCAAATGCTGCCCCATGGTGAGAAGACAGGGAGAGGCCCTGCAGGGACCCCCCCGGGTTACAAAGGGCTGCCACTGTGAGAAGGCAACGCTGCTGGCAGGGGCTGGGCTTTCTACCTCACCAAGCCTCTTCCCACCCAAAGGGCCCAGAGAGGGGCAGCTGCCCCCCCAGCGGGCACAGCACCTCCTCCCTCTGTGATGGGGTGGGGCCCACAGTCTCCTTTCTCGCGGCCTGCCTGGGCTGACCCTGGGTCCCAGCTCGGCCATGGGGCTTCGGCATGTAAAGCCCTTGGGGGGCAGAGCCTCCCACCCCCGCCAGCTTCTGGCTCTCTGTGTCGCCCCCAGCACTGGACTGGTGCCTTGGAGGGAGGCTCCGCTCTCCTCCACATCAACCCGCTGAGGAGTTCTGTCTTCCCAGGGTTGTGAGAGAAATCAGCTCTGCAGGCCTATGTCCAAGTCTAGGCGCCGCCTCCTCCAGGGAGCCTTCCAGACCTGATCTGTGTGGCAGAGGCCCAGAAGGACCTGGGTGTGGGGATCCTAGAGGGAGGCGGGGGACCCAGCGTGAGGAGAGAGGGTCCCAGTGCTTCCTCCTGAGTGAGGGTCACCCATCTGACTCCGGCTGCACAGAGCCACTCCCTCTAAGCGCTCCTGCTCTCTGCCTTCCTGCATTAGCTTTTGCCTGTACCCGGCCCAGCAAACCCCTGCTCATCTTTCAGACCCAAGTTCAAGGCCTCCTCCCACTCCGGGTGGCTCATCACCTGGCCTCCCCAGGCAGAGAGGCTAGGCTCCTGCTCACTGGGGCGTCTCCCTTGCCCACTGGCGCGGGACTACAAGGAAAGGGGTTGACCCCCACCCTCCCCCGCCACGCCCAGGAGGGTGCAGACACAACTGGGAAGGTGCTAGAGGCCCCGGGGGGAGGCTGGGCCAGCACCAGGCATTGGGGGGCAGGTTCCCGTCTCTATACCCCAGCCCCAGGAGGACAGCACGTGCCCCTCCCGCTGCCCCACCTGTCACCCACCTGCTGGCCCCGGGCTGTCTCTGCTCCTGGCTCCCCTCCCAGCTGCGTCCCCAGCTGCCTCTCCAGGGAGGAGTGACAGCTGGCCTGTGCCACACCCTCGAGCCCCCCCCCACGGACTACCCCCTCCCTGGGGCAGGACCCCTGCCTGTGGCACAACCAAGGGGCCTGCTGATGGGGGCTCATGTGAGCAGTGCCCCAGCTGTGGGTGTGGGTGCTGCCAGCTGCCACCGCCTTTGCCCTGGTTTCCCAGATAGACCCCGACCCACACTCCGAAGCTGTATCATGAATGCTGTGGTGGGCGGCTGGTGGGGAGCGGGGTTGCCGTCCCACTACCCTCTGGAAGCCTCAGCCATGAAGGGCCCCTGTGGGCACCTTTTCCCGGCACACGGTGCTGTGTCTCTCCACTCTTGGGCTCTGCAGTGACTTGAGGGTTCAAGTCTATGATCCCACGGGAGGCTGGGCTAATGAGGGGACCAGAGACCTCAGTGCTGTGCAGGGAGTCCCGAACCACCCTGGTGGAAGGCCCTGCCCAACTCCCCAGTCCTCCCGCCAGCTCCCTGTGGTGTCCAGGAGACCTGTGGTCAGGCCTGGAGGAGAAGCTCCTCCTCCCCTCGACATCCTCCCTGCAGCCCTTGCTCTTCACCAGAGCCTCCTGACTCCCCAGGACCCCAGAGAGGACCGACCCTCTCCAGCCGACCTCTGGGCTCAGGACAGCTGGGTGGGGCAGCCACAGGAGCTGCCTGTAGGGAGCAGAGTCAGGACGGGGACCGAGCCGGACACCCATTCTGGAAGTGTCTGCACTTCCAGGCAGGGGAAGGACGGCAATGGGTAGCTGGGAGTGCTGGGCCGAAGATGGGCATTGTCAGGCCCTCAGTGGGGACTGGGAGGTAGAGGTGGGGAGGTCTGTGGAGGAAGGAGAAGAAGGGCCAGTGTCCCGAGTCGGGGGTGGTTGGCAGTGGACGAGGCCGACAGGAACAGACCTGAGCTTGGGGAGCTCCACTCAGAACGAGGCATCCTTCAGGGTTCTGTGCATACTGGTGTCCCTGGCTGGGGGCCAGGCCCCGAAGTGGAGCCTGGGACTGTGAGGGTGGGGGTGTGTGCTGGGGTGGGAGGTGGATGGAGCCCCCCCGTAACCGCCTGGCTGCTTGGGCTGAACCTTGGACTTCGGAGCCAGAACAGACATAGGAAATGGCCTAATTGCATTTGCGCAGGAACACCAAATCCCTCGCAGCTGCACGGGGCTGAGCCGGGGCCACAGGCAGGGTCGGCCATCCCAGAGTCCTGACAGCTCCGTGGTGCATGCCAAGGGGCCTGGGCCGCTGGCCGGGGGGCGCCTTTCCCAGGCCAGAGGCCCCCACCCCACCCCAGGAGAGCTGCCCCCCTTTCAGTTCCCAGAACGGAGCCCAGCTGTGGAATAGTGATGCGGTGAGGTCATGGGGAGGGGGCCCGCATGACTCATATCCTGGGGGAGGGGAAAGGGAGGAGACGGAGAAGGGGCCCAGAGGCCTCCACGTTCTCAGCTCTGCTGGGTCAGAGGCCAGGGGCTGGCGGGGCTTCTCCCCAGCACTGGGTTTTAGGGGAGACACCAGGAGATGCTTACTCTGCATCCCCACTCTGTCCCCCAGGCCCCTAGCCAGGGAGAGCTCAGTCAGAGTGATCCTCCAGGGGCCCAGCTCTGCATGGATGATGTTCCCAGAGTACACACCTGGGCCTCGTGCCAGGGCCGGCACCGCCGTTGTCGGGGCCATGGCAAGGCAAACAGTCAATGTTTGCCTCACTAAAGTGAGGCTGCAGCACCCTGAAGGGATCCCTGGAGGGGGACGTGGTCCCCTTGTTCCCAAGCCTGTCTGCACATGCACGTGGATGTCAAGGGTTCCCGTGTGTGAGCACGTGCATATTTGTATGAGCATGGGGTGCAGGCATGTGTGCCTGTGTGGCCGGAGCGTGGGCTCGTGGAGAATGTGTGTGAGTTGGGTGTGCACCTGCATGTGCCCCAGGCCTAGGGAGTCCCGCGCCCGGCCACACTCCATGTGTTGGGCATGAGCTGTGAGCAGAGTGAGGGCCTTTATGGGGCTGTTGGGGCCCGGACTCGTTGCCCTTAGGGGTGGACCTAAGGAAACGTGTGCACACGGGCTTCTGGGGTCTCTGTGCCAATGTGTGCTTCCAAGCCACGCCCCCCCATGGCTTGGTGGAGGGGGTCTGTGGAGCTGGAGTGAGGGCCCTGGACCCATTGGAAGCCCAGGTCCAAGGAGGAGCTTGGGCTCCATCTCATGCCCCAGGCCCAAGGACACACACCCCAGCTGAGACCTTGCTCACATGGAGGGGCTGGGACATGGGAACATGGGGAGCAACATGGCCAGGCTTCTCCTCCGTGGAACCCCTCCACCTCCTCAATACTCTGCCCCAGCTCTGCGCCGCCCTCCATTTGGAGGGGCTGGATCGTGAGTGGGAGCGTGAGTGAGCATGAGGGCCCCTGCACCCCAGGCTCTGCCTCCCCATGTGGAACGAGGCCCAGCAGCCCCCAGCCACGCGGCTACTACTGCATTCAATCAGTGCCCCTCCATCTAACAAATACTCCCTCATATAATCAGTACTCCTCCATCCAATCAATATTCCTTCATCAACACCTTTCTATACAACCAATAGTCCTCCATCTAATCAATGCTCCTCCATCCAACCAATACTCTGCAATTTAACCACTGTCCCTCCATCCATTCAATGTCCCTCCATCCATCCCATGGTCCCCCAGCCCTACCCCATGAGCAGCATGGAGGCAGACCCACATCTGTCTTGTGCGCCATCATCTCCCTGATGCTCTTCAGGAAAGGGAGGTGTCTCACAATTGCATTGAATGGAGGAAGGCACATCTTTCCAGTGATCCCCACTCTAGGGCTGCATTGGGAAATCGCTCCCAGGGAAAACACAAACACAAAGCAGAGGGTTGCCCAGTGTGACCCTTTGATGTGACCACGGTGGCTGTCCACTAAGGTAATCCTGATGCTTTTCCTCCTCTGCAGACTGCTGGCCAGACCCCCAAGCTAGCCCGCCAGGCCTCCATAGAGCTGCCCAGCATGGCTGCGTCCAGTACCAAGAGTTGGTGGGAGACGGGTGAAGTACAGGCTCAGTCTGCGGCCAAGACTCCATCCTGCAAGGTAAGGTCCCCTCCAGGGGCAAGGCTGGGCTGCAGAGCCAGCACCGGGGAGTTTAGTAGCAGGCCAGGTTTCCTTGTTAAGACAAGCGTGGGACTGTCCAGGATGAATGTGGGCAGACAGAACCCTGAGGTATTGCAGTAGGGTTGGGTTCACCCTTGCTGGTGTAGAAGGCTGTGTTGTCCGAGTGGAGGTGGATGGCACCTTTATTCCTTTCCCTGCTTCTTCCACTGGGATCGCACAGAAAAAGTTTTGGTAGGCAGATCCCAGGCCCCCTGGCCAGGTAAGGCAAGGCAGGAGAGAAGGGCCCAGGGCTTCTACTCCCCAAGATCCAGGGGTCTGCCCTTGTGACATACCCTTCTGCTGCCCCCAGGATATTGTGGCTGGAGACATGAGCAAGAAAAGCCTCTGGGAGCAGAAGGGAGGCTCCAAGACCTCATCAACAATTAAGGTAGAGCCTAAATGTGGTTGGTGCAGGCAGGAAATATTAACTCATTTCATTGTCACATGAAACCAGAAGACATAAAACAGTTAAAATAGGCCAGGCACAGTGGCTCACACCTGTAATCCCAGCACTTTGGGAGGCCGAGGCGGGTGGATCACGAGGTCAGGAGGAGACCATCCTGGCCAACGTGGTGAAACTCGGTCTATACTAAAAATACAAAAAAAAAAAAAAATTAGCCGAGCGTAGGGGCACATGCCTGTAATTCCAGCTACTTGGGAGGCTGAGGCAGGAGAATCACTTGAACCAGCAAGTTGGAAGTTGCAGTGAGCTGAGCTCACACCCTGCACTCCAGCCTGGCGACAGAGGGAGACTCAGTCTCAAAAAACAAACACACAAGCAAATAAAAAAAACAAAACAACTTGACACACTTAGAAAATGAAGGTTTGTGCTATTAGTTTTCTTTTATTTTAGAAAAACAAAGCATTGTTTAAATATTTCTTACAAGTACAAATATAATTTAAATTTAATAAATGTTCAAAAATATCTGTAATTGAGTTTCATTCAGCAGACATATGTCTAATAGAGAACTTGCTAAGTAAGATATAAAGGATGATTACATGAAAAAATCACAAAATTGTCAGTAAGAGTCTTAAAAGTCAGTGATAGGACAGTAGTTAAAAGATATCAAATAGTTATTTATTCTTAAACATTAAACAGGATATTAATAGTTTTAATAATCTTGAAGTTTGACAACACTGTAAAAACATTACAGACCACTTTTATTTATGAAAATACGTGCAAATAGCAAACACCAGTTGGGCTTAAGGCTGCTACTTACTTACTCAGTAAGTGACAAAGCTGGAATTCAAACCAGGTTTGAGCTATACCACTACTACCCTTGAAAAGGTTTCATTACACTCAGCTTTCCTTAATTTCTTAAACTCTTTTTTTTTTTTTTTTTTTGATTGAGACAGAATCTTGCTCTATTGCCCAGGCGGGAGTGCAGTGACATGATCGTGGCTCACTGCAACCTCTGCCTCCCAGATTCAAGCAATTCTCATGCCTCAGCCTCCCAAGTAGCTGTGATTACCCGTGTGCATCACCACACCTGGCTAATTTTTGTGCTTTTAGCAGAGGTGGTGTTTTGCCATGTCAGCGAGGCTGATCTTGAACTCCTGACCTCAGGTGATCCGATCCACCCGCCTCAGCCTCCCAAAATGCTGATATTACTGGTGTGAGCCACCACGCCTGGCCAATTTCTTAAACTTTTGATTATACTAAATATGGTCCTTCTGCGTGATAACACTGTTTTTCCTTTTATAAAATTAATCTCTTAAAATACTTTAAAATTCAAAGTACACTTTTTAGATTCTTTAAAATACTCTTTGCCATATTCATGGCCTTTAGATGTGTGATCATAGCCTATTTGCTTTTCATTGACTTAGTTTCATATTTCTTTGCCTTTTTCCCCCTACTTTTCCTTATAGAACTATTTACTAGTAATGAAATCATTTTAAAGAATACACTTTTTATTCCACCTGCTAACTGTTAAGAGAATGTTTTATAATCACTCTGTTCATGGTCTGTAAGTTTCTTTTCTAAACTATCTTTTCAGGATACATATTTACTAACTTGCTTTCAAATGAATGTGGTCATGTCTATGCAGCAAGTTTCTTTTCTTTCTTCTTTTCTTCTTCTCTTTTTTCTTTTTCTTTTCTTTCTTTTTTAAGGCAAGATTTCGCTCTGTAGCCCAGGTTGAAGTGCAGTTGTACAAACATGACTCACTGTAGCCTCAACCTCTCTGGCTCAAGTGATCTGCCCACTTCAGCCTCCCAACCAAGTAGCTGGGACTGCAGGTGTGCACCACCCTGCTCTGCTAAGTTATTTAGTTTTTTGTAGACATGGATTCTCAGTGTGTTGCCCAGGCTGGTCTTGAACTCCTGGACTCAAGCCATCTTCCTGCCTTGACCTCCCAAAGTGATAAGATTACAGGCTTGAGACATTATGCCCAACCTCTTTTTCTTTTTCTTTCTTTCTTTTTTTTTTTTTTTTTTTTTTTTGAGACAGTCTTGCTCTTGTTGCCCAGGCTGGAGTGCAGTAGTGGCATGATCTTGGCTCACCGCAACCTCCACTTCCCGGGTTCATGCGATTCTCCTGCCTCAGCCTCCCGAGTAGCTGGGATTACAGGCATGCACCACCACACCCAGCTGATTTTGTATTTTTTAGTAGAGACAGGGTTTCTCCATGTTGGTCAGCCTGGTCTTGAACTCCCGACCTCAGGTGATCTGCCCGCCTTGGCCTCCCAAAGTGCTGGGATTACAGGTGTGAGCCACCATTCCTGGCCCTCTTTTTCTTTTTAACTGAGCTTATTTATCTCTTCCCCAGCTTGAGTCTGGGTCCTACTGTCTTGGTCAGAGTATTTTACTATATTGACCTGGACAATTCTGCCATCATGAACCATATTCCAAACCTAAATATGTAAGAACATAGAAAGATTATTTTAGCAGGAGAATTTTAACACACACACACACACTTTATTCTGAAAATTTAGCAACAAAATGAAAGGTGAGTTGTGGTAGTTGATGTATCAACAAATAGAAAGAAGAAAGCCTGTAATCTGTTTCAGAATGCTATTTCTGGGGCTGGTAACATCAAAAATAATCAAATTAAGTGTTAACTTGCTGACTCGTAAGATTTTCTCTAATTTAGAATTGGAGAACATATATACTCCTATTACCACTTTCCATCTTTCTCAAATATAGTTTTTATAGTTTTCTGTTGGCTTCATCATCGTATTGAAAGATTATTAATCACTTACATATATGTAGTTTTCTGTTAAGTCCTGTTCAGTATATTACAAAATTTTGATCTGTGTATGTAATATCAATTAATAAGATGGTGTTAGTTAAATCAGATTACGTGTTCATTCATTAAGTCATTGTTAACACTTCACAGAATATAAATCGTGTTCCATGAGTATGAATTTCTCTCTGAATTCCACATAATTGTCTTAAAATTATGCACCATTTATCGTTAAGAGTGAAAGATTATGTGTCATTTATTGTAGTGGTAGAAGAAAATAAAACCAAAACAGAATCCAATCCAAAAGCTTAGGTTTTTGTTGCTACTACAGTAATTACATCTTCATATACTAAGGACAGCACATTATTACTGTCCAAGAATGGTGCCTCGGACAACTGGTTGCTTACACTGTTTTCAGAGATGAAATAGGAACATAAGCAGGAAGATTTTTGTCTAAATATGAAGCAAGAAAGGCTTAAATGTCTTTATTCAGGGGATTAGGCATCATAAGTTTTTTTTTTTAGAGAAATTGTTTTCATGATATTTCCTATCTCCTTTTGTCACTTTGCTTTTGTCGGTAAATTTTACAACTAAATGAGGATTACCAGGCATAAAAAGCAGCAGACAATCATGATGCAAACTGAAAATAATCAATCAAAACTGACCCAGAACTTAAATAGATGTTAAAATTAGCAGAGGAGGACATTAAAACTGTTTTTATACATGTATCTCATATAATCAAAACATTAAATAGAGACATGGGAGATAAACAAGAAAAGCCAAAATCAAACTTTCAAAGACAAAAACATTTGAGATGAAAATTACATTGGATGAACTAAAGCAGATTAGAAACTGCAGAAGAAAAGATTAGCAAACTTGAAGATACAAGAACAGACACTAGCTAAAGTACAAAAAGAAAAAAAAATCTTAAAAAGTGATTTTTAAAAAGCATCAGTGAGCAGTCAGGCAACTTCAAATGGCCTAATAATATGCAGGTAACTGGAGTTCCCAAAGGAGAAAAAAAAGAAAGAGAAAAAAATACTTGAAGAAACAACTGCTGAAAATGTTCTAGCCATAAGAAGACCTATTAACTCACGGATCCAAGAAACTCAGCAAACCCCAAGCACAAGAAACATGAAGAAAATTACACTAAGGGATAACATAATCAAATTGTTCAAAATCAAGGAAACATTATTAATAGCAGGTGTATAAAAAGACATGTTACCTATAGAAGAACAAAGATAAGAACAACATCAGATTTCTTTTGAGAAACAATGCAAGTGAGAAGACAGCGGTACATCTCTAAAGTTCTAGAAGAAAAAAGGCCAACTAGAATTCTATGCCTGGCAAAAATATCTTTCAAAAATGAAGGTGAAATAAAGACACACCAGAAACATAAATAATGAAATAATTCATCACCAGGAGACCTTCACTGCAAGAAATGTTAAAGGATATTCTTCAGAAACAAAATGATGTCAGATGAAAATCTGGATCAATACTAAGGAATAAAGAGCACCAAAGTGGTAACTATATGAGCAAACATCTTTTAAATTTTTTATTATTTAAATCTCTAAGAGATACATGTTTAATAAAAAAACAGCAAAATATTACAGAGTTTATGACATATGTAAAAGTCAAATGCATGGCAGCAATAGCACAAAGTGCAGGAGGGAGGAAAAGAAAGTAAATGAAGGAATGCTTTTATTATAGATGAAGTGTACAATATTACTTGAAGGTAGACCTCTCTAAATGTGCACTATAATCTTAAAGGAACCACAAAAATAATTTTTAAAAATAGGTAAAAGTAATAAAAGGAGGCAAACTGGAATCATAATAAATAATATAAGCTGGGCACGGTGGCTCACGCCTGTAATCCCAGCACTTTGGGAGGCCGAGGTAAGCGGATCACAAGGTCAGGAGATCGAGACCATCTTGGCCAACATGGTGAAACCCCGTCTCTACTAAAAATACAAAAATTAGCTGGGTGTGGTGGTGCACACCTGTAATCCCAGCTACTCAGGAGACTGAGGCAGGAGAATCGCTTGAACCCAGGAGGCGGAGACTCTAGTGAGCCGAGATAGCGCCACTGCACTCCAGCCTGGCAACAGAGCGAGACTCTCTCTCAAAAAAAAAAATAAATAAAGTAAAAGAATGCAAGAAGACCAGGTGCAATGGCTCACACCTGTAATCCCAGCACTCTGGGTGGCCAAGGCAGGAGACTCACTTGAGCTCAGGAGTATGAGACCAGCCTGGACAACATAGTGAGACCCCATATATAAAAAAATAAAGTAGCCGGGTATGGTGGTGCACAACTGTGGTCTCCACTATTGGGAGGCTGAGGTACATCACTTGAGCCTAGCAGGTCAAGGCTGCAGTAAGGTATGATCACACCACTGCACTCTAGCTTGGGTGACAGAGCAAGACCCCATCTTGGCAGGTGGGGGATGCAAGAAAAATGCAAGGAACAGATAGAGATAAATAGAAAACATATAAGAAGACAATCATATTAAATGTACATGGTCTAAATACCCCCAATTAAAAAGCAGAGGTTTTAGACCATATACATTTAATGTGATTGTCTTCTTATATGTTTTTATCAGAGAAATAAAACTATCGCCTTCAAGAAACACAAGTTAAATACAAAGATGCAAACAGGTTAAAATAAAAGAATGGAATAATATATACCATGCTTACGCTAGTCAAGAGAAAGCTAGAGTAGAAATACTAATATCAGGCAAAGCATATTTCAGAGTTAAACACAACATTTTTCCACTATTTGCAGTCAAAAGTATCGTTAACACTCTCTTTACTCTGCTCAAAGTTACAGAGTTCTTTTGTATAAACATTAGAACACTTATCACAGCCTGCCTATAATGGAGAATAATTCCATGTTGTATACTATACAACACTCTTACTAAAGTCCATTAGACAGAAATATGTAGCATTTAAGACACCTTCCAATTATAAAACTCTATGCAAACAAAAATTAACAACGCAGATCTGAGACTATTATATTATCCTGTGAAGGAGGGTCTGTCTGTCTGCACAGTTGGTCCTAGGCTGGCTTCTGAGGACTTGAATTTCAAGAGGGTTCCCTAACTGGTAATCATGGTTTACTGTATCTAGACTATGGAAATAATGTGGCTTATCCTGCTATTCTTTTTGTGAGTCTGGAAATTTCACACATGCTAGGCAGAGTACACATATGTGACCAGCCAAGATAAAAACTGTGTTTCTTGGGAAGTCACATAGGTTGTTGTATTTTCATTAAGGGGGAAAGAAGGTAGTCTGTGTGATCCTCATGGAAGGCACAGCACATAAGGAAGCCGGTACATGGATTTTTCCAGACTCTGTCAGTGTCTTTTGCCATTGAGATCTTTCTACTATATATCCATACTATGTTACAGTAATAAATCTTAGCCATTACAACCCTAAGCTGATCCCATGAGTCCTTCTAGCAAATCTCCAAACATGGAGGCAGTCTTGTGGATCCCTGACACAAATATAGTGTTGTGATCTCTTAAGGTTTATCCTTCCTCTTAAACTATAAAGAGCTGGCTGGGCACAGTGGCTCACGCTTGTAATGCCAGCACTTTGGGAGGCCGAGGCGGGTGGATCACGAGGTCAAAAGATTGAGATCATCCTAGCCAACATGGCGAAACCCCGTCTCTACTAAAACTACAAAAATTAGCTGGGCGTGGTGGCACACATCTGTAGTCCCAGCTACTCGGGAGGCTGAGGCAGGAGAGTCGCTTGAACCAGGGAGGCAGAGGTTGCAGTAAGCCGAGATCGCACCACTGCACTCCAGCCTGGTGACAGAGGGAAACTTCATCTCAAAAAAAAGAAAAAAACTATAAAGGGCTGGGTGCAGTGGCTCACGCCTATAATACTAGCACCTTGGCAGGCCCGGGTGGGAGAATTGCTTGGGCCCAGGAATTGAGACCAACCTGGACAACAGAGCAAGACCCTGTCTCTTAAAAAAAAAAAAAAAAAAGAAAAGTTGGCCGGGTGTGATGGATCACGCCTGTAGTCCCAACACTTTGGGAGGCCGAGGTGGGCAAATCACAAGGTCAAGAGTTCGAGACCAGCCAGGCCAACATGGTGAAACCCCATCTCTATCAAAAAAAGTACAAAAAATTCACTGGGCATGGTGGTGGGCACCTGTAATCCCAGCTACTTGGAAGGTTGAGGCAGGAGAATCACTTGAACCCAGGAGGCAGAGGTTGCAGTGAGCTGAGATCACGCCACTGCATTCCAGCCCGGTGACAGTGTGAGACTCCATCTCAAAAAAATAAAAAAGAAAAGAAAAGAAAAGAAAAGTTAGCCAGGTATGGTGGCATGCATTTGTGATCCCAGCTACTCTAGAGGCTGAGACAGGAGGACTGCTTGAGCCTAAGAAGTCAAGGTTGCAGTAAGCCATGATCATGCTACTGCATTCCAGCTTAAACAACTGAGATGCTATCTCTTAAAAACAGAAGTAGAAGCAAACAACTATAGGGGAAAATGAGGGATACATACTTTAAGAATTTTTAAAAATTTACATGGAAAAACACCAGGATTCTATAGAAAATAAAACAGTATTAAATAACATTATTTATAAAATAGATACTAGCAAATTACCTTACGTAAAGATTCAAGTCAGTAACTTAAAGGATCTTACATAAAAGTACTTTCCGTTGGTTGGAGGAGAGATTTTTACTATACACTGTTTTTCAATTTTTTTAGACAAATTACATTTAAAAGTTTAAATTTGCTTATCTACATTCTTAATGTGAATTGCCACCTTACTATAGGAAGGCTATTTTTGTTCCTGCAGTCTACAAAAAGAACAAAAATATTAAAAACGTACAACTCTTCTCACAGAACTAAGTTGGTTTTATACAAAGACATCTGGCACAAAATACAATGATATTTCAATATAGAATCACAGCAGGGGATGAGGGTGGAGAAGGAAGAGATTACCAGTTCTAAGAGGGGAGACAACAGAAGTATTTTTTTAATGTCTTATTTTAAGAGTAAAACACCTGCTTTTTTTTTGAGATGGAGTTTTAGGCGGGAGTGCAGTGGAACGATCTCGGCTCACTGCAATCTCTGCCTCCAGGATTCAAGTGATTCTCCTGCCTCAGCCTCTTGAGTAGCTGGGATTACAGGCACACGTCACCACGCCAAGCTAATTTTTGTATTTTTACTAGAGAGGGGGTTTCACCACATTGGCCAGGCTGGTTTCAAACTCCTGACCTCAGCGTCAGCCTCCCAAAGTGCTAGGATTACAGGCGTGAGCCACCATGCCCAGCCAACACTGAACATTTTGTTCAGAACTAGTTAAGAAAACAGAAATATACGTTGGGGGTTTATGGATTACTTATTTTTGGGGTGCAATACTGGGAATAGAAGAGAAAGGAGCTTCCTTTCCCTCTCCTTCTTTCATTCATTCATTCATTTTGAGAAGAAGTCCTGCTCTGTTGCCCAGGATGGAGTGCAGTGGTGAAAACTCAGCTCACTGCAACCTCCACCTCCTGGGTTCAAGCAATTCTCCTGCCTCAGCCTCCCAAGTAGCTGAGATTACAGGCACGCACCACCACACACGGTTAATTTTTATATTTTTTTAGTAGAGACAGGGTTTTGCCATTTTGGCTAGGCTGGTCTCCAACTCCTGACCTCAGGTGATCCACCCGCCTCAGCCTCCCAAAGTGCTGGGATTACAGGCATGAGCCACCGCACCTGGCCAAGAAAGGAGCTTTAGATAAATAAAATGATTAAACATTTGTAGCATGTAGAATGAAACTATTCCCTTAGTAATACTCAAATTATCCAGATTTCCAAGATGTTGGTAGCACCCCGAGAGCTTCAAAAGGGAAATTAAAAGAAAAACGACGTTACCCTTCCTGAAACACAGATTCACTGTTTGCCATATTCTTTTCTCTAGTAAAAGATGAATAAAGTTTCCTCTGGAAAAACTAAAAACAATCTGAGGTATATTTCAGAGAAAACAAAATTGCTTGATAAAAATGCCATGTTAACAACTGAGGAAATTATTTTACATATATTAATTTTAACACAGGAATAATATGTCAAACCAGGATTTCTCAACCTCAGCACTATCGACATTTTAAGCTGTATAGTTTTTGGTGTGGGAGGCTGTCCTGTATATTGTAGAATGTTTAGTGGCAGCCCTGGCCTCTACCCAAGAGGCCAGTAGGACCCACCTCCTCATTCAAGCTAATGCACTAAATTTTTCCCTTCATTGACAAATCCCATTAATGCATGTATTTATCCCATTAGTGACTCTCTTGTGTTCCAGGTACTTTGTTAGGCACCAGAGAAAATATGATAAAGCAAAACAGCTATTTTCCTCACTCTCATGGTGCTTACAGCCATGGTGGGAAAAATCCATAGGAAAAGACTCACATACACAAATGCAGGCAGAATAAAAAAACTCACACAAACAAACGTTGCAGATGTTGTTAAGTTACATAAAGGAGATATGCATGGCTGTGCATGGTGGCTCGTGCCTGTAATCTTAGCACTTGGGGAGGCCAAGGCAGGTGGATCACTTGAGGCCAGGAGCTCAAGACCAGCCTGGCCAACATGGCGAAACCCTGTCTCTACTAAAAATACAAAAATTAGCCAGGCATGGTGGTCCATGCCTATGATCTCAGCTACTTGGGAGACTGAGGTGGGAGGATCACTTGGGCCCAGGAGGCAGAGGGTACAGTGAACTGAGATTGCGCCACTGCAATCTCAGCCTAGGAGACAGAGAGAGACGTCTCCTGTTCTCCTGGAGAACAACAAGTCATGATGTCAGACAAGAACTTGGATTTTGGAGACACGGGTTTGAATTTCAGTCATTCATTCTTTTATTCAGTAAATATCTAGCAAGTACTGACATGTCCCAGATGTTGTTTTACTCACTGGTTATACAATGGGAGGGAGACAGAGAAAGAGAGAGAGAGAGAGAGAGAGAGAGAGAGAGACACGCTATTCTAAAAGCTTGAAGTCTAGGCTGTGCAGAGTGGCTCATGCCTATAATCGCAGCACTCTGGGAGGCTGAGACGGGTGGATCATGAGGTCAGGAGATTGAGATCATCCCGGCTAACACAGTGAAACTCCCTCTCTACAAAAATACAAAAAATTAGCTGAGCATGGTGGCAGGTGCCTATAGTCCCAGCTACTTGGGAGGCTGAGGCAGGAGAATGGCGTGAACCCAGGAAGCGGAGCTTGCAGTGAGCCAAGATCACACCACCGCACTCCAGGCTGGGCGACAGAGCCAGACTCCGTCTCAAAAAAAAAAAAAAAAATGCATAAAGTCTAGATAGACTTTAACCCAGGAATAATCCAAGGAAATGAACAATTACAAATGTGACAAGGGCTGTGAAGGGAAAGTTCACAGCCTTGTCGAAGTGTACAGTAGTTGGGGAGGTTGGCCAAGGCAAGATGTTTAGGAAAGGCTTTCCTGGGGAAATTTCTCTTTGGGTTGAATCACAGTTAAGTAGGCAAAGGGGAAGACAGAGGTAAGGGAAGTATGGCAGGCAGGAAGAATAGGCACTTAATAGCTTTGGGATATTGGGCAGGTCGCTTGATCTTTCTGAGCTTCAGTTTTCTCATCTGGGAAATGAGTTAATAATAGTCGTTTAGAAAGTGTGATGAGGCCAGCCAGGTGTGATGGCTCAGGCCTGTAATCCCAGCACTTTGGGAGGCCGAGGCAGGTAGATCATGAAGTCAGGAGATTGAGACCATCCTCGCCAACATGGTGAAACTCTGTCTCTACTAAAAATACAAAAATTACCCAGGCATGGTGGCGTGTGGGAGGCAGAGGTTGCAGTGAGCCAAGATGGCACCACTGCACTCCAGCCTGGGTGACAGAGCAAGACTCCACCTCAGAAAAAAAAAACAAAAGGAAGAAACTGTGATGAGATCAAAACAATTAATGCATGAGTGTTCTGAACCTCGTTTCTCCCTCTGCTGTATCTATGCAGTTTCTTGACCTGGGCTGTGCTCCAAAGAGGATTCTAGCTTGGCTTTTGTGATAGAGAATGGATACATTATTAGACCTGAAAAGCCAGAGCAGGGAGGAATGGTCCCAAAAGGAAGAAACTGTGCTTGTCTTCACAATAAAGAGCAGAGAAGTGGGGAGAGGTATTGAAAGCTGTGGGTGGAGTTTTGCAGGTAAGATTGTGTGAAAGAGGTGAGGGAACTACAATCTGGGGGAATGTGGATAGGAGAGTAAAAGGGAATTCTAGAGAACAATCCCTACTGACTTCACACAACTTAAGAAATGCAAGTAAAGGGCCGGGCGCGGTGGCCCACACCTGTAATCCCAGTACTTTGGGAGGCAGAGGCAGGTGGATCACTTGAAGTCAGGAGTTCAAGAAGAGCCTGGCCAACATGGTGAAACCCCATCTGGGTTAGTCAGGCATGGTGGCATGTGTCTGTAATCCCAGCTACAGAAAGATAGAGAGGTGGCTGAGGCAGGAGAATTACTCAAACCCAGGAGTTGGAGGTTGCAGTGAGCCGAGATCACACCACTGCACTCCAGTCTGCTGGACAACAGAGCAAGACTCAGGGGGTGGGGTGGGGGAAGGAAAGAAGGAAGGAAGGAAGGAAGAAAGGAAGGAAGGAAGGAAAATAGAAATAGAAATGCAAGTAAAGAATTTCAGTTTGAAAATTGCCTTTTGTCTACTGAACATGAGACTGCTTGGAAACTGGGCAACGTGGATTTTTATAAGTTGTACAAAGCACTTAGCAATTTTCAAACCTCTCCATCCTGCAGAGCCAGCTCAATCACTTCTCCAGAAAGACTTACTGAGTCCTCTGCACTGAACAGGTGTCCTATGCTCCAGGAGAGCCCTGGGCTGGCTCCTAGTGCAGCCGTTATGACCCTGGAATGCACCATCTTTCACATCACTGCCTGGCCTTCTAGAATCTCAGCTTCTTAAATCAAGAAATTGTGTCTTGTTCATGTCTGAATTCCCCAAGTGAACACAGTGAGTGGGTGCTTGACAAATCTTTGTTGGTAATGAGCAAAAAAGGGGATTCTGTGCCCAATACCATGAAATCAATGCACAGAAGATTCAATCAATCAAGAAAGGTGCACAGACACTGGCCACACACACTGACATTTGTTTGCAGATGTTCCAGTCCCCCTGACTTCCACCAATCCATTCATTCATTCCACAAGCATTTTTGCTGGGGTGGAAGCAGGGCCATACAGGGTGTGTACATCACAGATAGGGTGGGTTTGTATAATGAGTATAAAAAACTTCTAGCAGAAGATGACAAAGTATATCAAGAAAGGGCTCTCTTCGAAATCACACCACTGCACTCCAGCCTGGGTAACAGAGGGAGATTCCATCTAAAAAAAAAAAAAAAAAAAAAAACAGGGATGGGGGCAAGGGAGCTCTTTTCTTCCAGTTAGCACAAGATTGCCATTTCAGCTAGGGATTCTGCTGCAACTATCTCCCAGACCCTATTCTAGGGCCAGGGGATAGAAACAGAATCAAAAACATATTCATTGTCTTTTTTGGGCTTATATTATCGAGGAGAGAGAAATAAACAATTTCAAAATAAACAGTGTCATACAGCGCTAAGTGCTATAAATAAAATCAAACAGAATAACGAAAGAGAAAGTAGCTAGACTGGAGGGAAAAGCTGCTTCAGAATGAGTTGTCAAGGAAGCCTCTTTGCAATCAGAAAGGTGAGAAGGATTTAGTCAGGCAAATATCAGGAGTAAATTATTCTTGGAGGAAAGTAAGCCCATGCAAAGGCCCTGGGGCAGAGTGGGCTTATTTGATAAAGAGGTAAAAGGGTCAGGATATCTGTAGCAATAGTGGCCAAGGGAGGGAGAGGTATGAGACAGAGGAGGTGAGCCCTGTTGCCATGGTGAGGGCATGAGGATTTATTCTAAGTTCCAGATACCTGGAGTTAAAGTCCCCTGAACTGGACAACAACTACAAGCCTTCATATCTCAATGCTACCATCTTTAAGCCCCCGTTATAAGAGCTCAGAGGCTTCAGAGATGACAGGAAACACCAGAACGCTATGGTGGAGCATATCTAGGTGCCTTCTCCCAACTCAGATCCTTTGACTGTAGAAAGACACAGATTTCAAGGCTGAGATCCACAAAACTCTAGCAAATACTGCACAGACACTGACCAATGACAGCAGGTGCTGCCTGTCACCCTGGAGCACCAGGCAGGGTTCCAAAGCACCCTTGCTGTGCCAGCCTCTGATTGCTGGTTATAGGGAGGTCTGGGGTAGTCCCAAAAGCTGGGATGTGCAAGGCAGCTGGGGTCAGTCAGGAGGCTCAGGGCAGTGGCAGGAAAATATTTTCCTCCCTGGTAGAGCCACAGCGGGGTATCCAGGCTGAATATTATTGGCGAGAAGGACCATGGCACAGCACCAAGACCTGCAGGACAAACTTTGTTGGAGCTGAATCCAGAAAAACAATCTTCTTCTAAACCACTCTCCTGCCCCTCATTTAATTATTGTGCTTTTGGGTGCACTTGGACTACTCTGAAACATTCAGAACTCTGTCAAAAAAAAAAAAAAAAGACCTCTCTCCTCAGCACCTCTCCCACTTGGGCATCAGTCTTGGCTTCCTCTCTACTTGCTTTCACTTGCTCCTTGTGGCAGAGATTGTCCTCAGCAGATCCCTTCCCTTAGGTTCCTTGCTGTCAAGTGGAGGCTAGGGAGCGAGATTATGGCCAATAGAATGTGGGTGGAACCACAGATCTGAGCCTGAGGAACATCCCACAGGACCCTGAGCTCTTCCTCCAGCTGCTGCAGTGGCCTTGGAAGCCATGTCTGTTCTAGAAGTGTAGCTACAGATGGAGAAGGCCCATGTGCCAGCTAGTCTCCAAAGATGGCGTATTAGGCCATTCTTGCGTTGCTATAAAGAAATATCTGAGATAAGTTAATTTATAAAGAAAAGATTTGTATTGGCTCATTGTTCTGCGGGCTTCACAAGAAGCATGGTGCTGGCATCTGCTTGGTTTCTAAGGCGGCCTAGGAAGCTTACAATCATGAGCAGGCACATCACGTGGCCAAAGCAGGAACAAGCAAGAGAGAGTCAGTGGGTGTGGGGAGGGACATGCCACACACTTTTAAATAACCAGATCTCACAAGAACTCACTATCTCAAAGACAGCAGCAAGCCATGAGGGATCTACCCCCATGGTCAAAACAACTCCCACCATGCCCCAACTCCAGCACTGGAGACTGCAATTTAACTTGAAATCTGGGTGGAGATAAATATCCAAATTATATCAGAGGGCCTTCCCTCGAACCAAACCTCCTGGTTTCCAGGTCCCCTTTCTTGCTGCTTCTGGGCTGGCCTCCTGGGAAGCCAAGACTGCAGTGGCTCTGATGCTGCATGGGGGCTGAGGCTCAGCCATGAGGAGGCTCGTAGCTGCCACTTTGGTCTTTTGGAATCTTTGCTCATGAGAGTCTCCCCGTTGGGCCGCAGCCACCATGCTGAGAAATGAGGGTCATGTGGAGAGGCCACATGGAGGTTTTCTGGTCTAGAGCACAACTGAGCTCCCAGAAAACAGCCAGCATCAATGGCTGGGCATGTAAGCCAGCTGGCATGGACATTCCAGGCCAGTCTGTCCTTTTGTCACCTTAGCTACAGGGAAGGCCCATGACCCCAGAAGTGCCCATCATTATGCTGAATTCCCGAGCCTCAGTGGTCCACCGAGGTGTGGAAGCATGTCTCACAAGGGTCAGATGGAGTTCTGGCCTGGATTGATGTGTAGATGCTTGAGGGAGAAGCTGGGTTTCTTTCAGCTGGGGTGGCTCTGCTGGGATGTGGTGGGCCTTGGGTTTCCAGGTGGTCATTTTCCTTATTTGCAGTAGAAGGAATGAGGCCCATATAGAGAATAGAGCAAATTAAAGGGAGAGAAAGAGAAAAAAGTAAGGAGAGAGGAAGAAAGATAAAAAGAAGGAAAAGAAGAACGGAGGGAAGGAGGAGAGGAAAGAAAAAGAGAAGGAAAATGAGAAGGAGGAGAGGAAGAGGAGAGAGAGAGAGAGAGAGAAAATAACTTACTTGAACCTCAAAATTCAGGCATACCATGGTCTTTGCAGTTATAAAAATCAATAAGTCACCCTTTAGCTGAAACATGTCTAAGTGGAGTTTCAGTTGTTACAACTGACAAAGCCCTGCCTAGCACAAGGAATAAACAATGTTCAGCAGTGGCATGAGAACAAGGGACAGCCTGTTTGGTGGGCAGCACGGCAAATGGCTGTCTGGAAAATATGATGCTTGGGCTGGAGGGCAAAGTGGAATTCACCAGCATGCAGGGTGGAAGTACAACCCTAGCAGACGGAACAGCACTGGCAAAGGTTCAGAGGCAAGAAGCTTTACATGTGAAAGGATACATTTTTAGAACACTAAACATTCTCCCTGTTATCCAAAACACTGAGTTTCTCTTCATTTTTTGGCCAGGTGTGGTGGCTCACGCCTTTAATCCCAGCACTTTAGGGGCTGAGGTGGGTAGATCACCTGAGGTCAGGAGCTCAAACCAGCCTGACCAACATGGCAAAACCCCATCTCTACTAAAAATACAAAAATTAGCTGGGTGAGGTGGCAGACACCTGTAATCCCAGCTACTCGGGAGGCTGAGGGAGAAGAATAACTTGAACCAGGAGGCAGAGGTTACAGTGAGCTGAGATTGTGCCACTGCACTCCAGCCTGGGAGATGAGACAGAGCAAGACTATCTAAAAAAAAAAAAGACTGAGTTTCTCATCATTTTTTGAAATTGAGAGTTTTCTCTGTATCGATAAGACCTTATAATGCAAAATATAATATAATATGCAGCTAGGTCTCCACAGCCTTCAGTCTTTCCCAGGGAGGGTTCCATGAGCTGCTTGTCTGGTGGGGATGGTGGTTTTGAGCAAGTAGTTGGTGTCCTGTCTTACCCAGGCTCTTTCCCACAAAGAGTTGGGCAGAATTAAAAACTACTGGAAACCAAGATCTCTCTCTGATGTTGACTTGTCAGACCTCAGCCTCATCAGCACAGGCTCTAATCAGCTAAGCAGCTAATAAACTCCTGCCTCATTTCATCCAGCCAGAGCCCTGATCTCAGGGGATGATAGTGAGGAAATGATCCTTTCACATGCCTGGCTCCTGCAAAATTGTGCTAAGAGGATTTTCCTCAAACAGTTTAGCACAGAGCAAGGTTTCCTGATCCAGTTAGCAAATATTCTTCTGTTTGAACTCACTGACCCTCCTTTTTCTGAAGATGTATTTTAAATTGGATTTGCTTCACTGACACAAATGGAAAACTTGATAAGAAAATCGGTGGGATTTTACTGCACCCACTGCTGATATCAAGACTGAACTCTGTATTACAGCAACAAAAGCTCTGTTCTGTGGCTACAGGATACACGCTGAGCTCCCAGCCACCAGCCCTGCCAATGTGCTCAGCTTGGCACAGGGCAGGGAGCAGGGTAGAGGGGAGGGGATGGGGAGGGGCAGGTGGAAAAGCTCAGGTGATGAGCCAGCCACATCACCTCAAGCACAGGACCCCTGATGGTGGCCCTAGATCCTCCTCTTGAAATCCAAAGCTCAGTCCCTCTCCCCAGTTCAGGAGCAAGGAGGTTTCTGGCAGGTTAAAATGGCTAACTCAGGAGCTTGCCACCTTTGAAAGGCAGCACTGTGTAGACAGAGGCAGAAGGATGGGCTTACGAGACAGTCCTGGCTTCAAATCCTTCTCTGACTTACCAGCTCTGGAACCTTAAGCAAGTGACGTAACCTCTCTAAGCCTCAGTTGCCTCATCTTTAAAATGGCATCCCTAATCCTTACTATGAAGAGATATCATGGGTAAATGAGATGCTGTACTTACGAAAGGGCAAGTCCCTGTATTGGTCAAGTGTTTTTACAGCATTGCTGCATAACACACAGCCCCAGGGGCTCAGCAGCTCAAAACAAGTGTTTATTTCTTGCTAATAATTTGCAGTGAGCTGGGAAGCCTTGCCTCGGACTGGGGGCCAGGCTCTGTTTGCTTCTGTGTGTCTCATTCACAGGCCGGTGGTTCCCTGGAGCTTGCTCTTCTCATTGTGCAGGGGTGGGGTCAGTGCTGCCACCCAACACCACATTCAGTTAGAGCCTCCAGTCAGACCAGGCATGCACTAACTCTGCTCATGCATCTCTAGCCAAAGCTGGTCATGTGCACAGCAAGAAATCTGCTCTGTCCTGTCCACAGGGAAGTCGCAGGAATGTGAGAAGGCCAGGAAGGATTGTGAGCCAATAATACATCTTGACAATCCACAATAGATGGAAGCTATTATTGATTCATTATCTCAAAATGGCTCCACCAGCCAACCCCTTCTATCCATCCCCAGTGCCACCTTCTAATTCAGGTCCTCGACGCTTTTTGCTTGCATGGCTGCCAGAGCCTTTGGGCAGGTCTCTCTGTGTTGATGTGTTCACCCCCACTCCTATCTCCTCCATCCAACGCTCTACCACCAAGGCAATCCTCCTAAAACACAACCACAGTGTTCTTCACACTCCCTATGATTCCCTGCAACCCACATTATTAATCATTAATCCAATTAATAAAAATTAATGTACTAATCCCCAGCTCCTCAGTGTGGCCCTTCACAATCTGCTTGTCCAGCCTCGTCTCTTGCCTCCCCAGCTTTCCCCAGCAGACCCCTCTCCCACCCATTCCAATGCCATCCTCTTCTCCCAGCCTAGTTCTTTCAGGCCCTGTGCCTTTGCACTTGCCCCTGCCTGAAATGTCCTTCCCACTTCTTCTTGAAGGGGGTGAGTGCCAACTCACCTTTCCAACCCCACACCAATGCACACCAGGATCTCCCCAAGACTCCAGGGTAGTAGTCACCATCTGTATTTCTGCAGCACACTGCACCTGCCTCTAGCACAGCTCGACAGCCCACTGAAGTGAATGATCTGTTCGATCAGTGCCGACTTGCCTTTCTTTCCCAGCTGCAAACCACCCAAGGTGAAGTCATCTTAGCCTCTTGGAGTCAGCCTGACTGGGGTGAACCCATTGATATGTATTGCATAAATGAACATATGACAGTAGTGATGAAGGGTCTCCAGCTATCCGTGTACTCTCTATGCTTCCCAGACTCTTTGGCAGTTGCACTGGGTACTGGCTGAGTTCTGGAAAACAGGAATGTGAGCAGAGTGCTGCAGATCTCCTTGTCAGGAGCACCTAAGAACTGGCATGACTCTACACCCTCTCTCCTTCTGCAATGACCTCGTGTCAAGATGGCAGACCTGCAGAGATGAATGTGCCTGGATACCTGAGTCACCAGGTGGAGGAAACTCCCATTGACATGCATCACACTCCACATATGAAACCCTTCTTTTTCTGCACTGTCACTGGGGTTAGGGATTATTACTCACTGCAACTTAGCCTAGCATTAAGTTGCTTGACTAATACAAGTTTCAATAAATGTCGCTTCATTTCCCATGGCTTCTGACTGAATGCTGTGCAATATCCACAAACCATCCAGATTGTGGTTTATAAATACCACCCTTCACTAAAAGGACTCAGAGCTCCTTGTAGAAATGGCTGATGCTAAGGCTGGGGTAGGGAAGTACAAGGTGAGCCCAGAGTGCTGTGTGGTGCCAGAAAGCAAGGAAGCATTTAAAAAATGACAGGGACATGTCAAAGGACACATCAATCAACTTCAAGGGGCTTCCAGTGGCCAAATCTGGGATGATGTGAGCATCCAAATTAATAATGATAATGGTAGATTATAGTCTATTGAATAAAATGAGAACCTATAACTATAGAAAGAAAGAAAAGGGAAGGAAGAAAAGAAAGAAGAAGAGAGGGAGGGAGGGACGGAGGGAGGGAAGAAGGAAGAAGACTTTCTTACGGTAGAATGCCAATGAATAAATACAGAGGGAATAATAGAAAACTCCATTTGCAAACATGATCATAATAGTTTATTCAAGGAAGAATCATCACTGAGTGAAAATTTAAGAAGGTAAAGTATGTTTTCATTGTCTCATAGCACTTCCACTCATATGGTTTATTAATTGCAAAGAGAAAAAGTGGTAACTTAACAGTAGAGAAACCCAGCAGGTCCTCCCTTAATGAGCTGAACAAAGTTAACAACACCAGGAATAGGACAAATGGGTGCCAAGTGTCTCTTGATGTGATACACTGAGAACACAGCATTGCTTCTGTAGCATTCCGGTCCCTGGAGGAAACATCAGACAAACACAGATGGAGGGACCTTCAAGGACTGACCTGAACTGTTCTTCGGTGTCAACCCCATGATAGACAAAAAGAGGCAGAGGAACTGTTCCAGATTAAGGGAGACTAAAAAGGTATGACAGCTGGATCAGGGGAAACGTGCCTTAAAGGGCATTATTGGGACTGTTGGCGAAATTTTAAGTGAACTGTATATTAGACAATTATCAAGGACTACACGATTGTATGGCATCAACCTCAAATTCCCCGAACTTGAGCACTAGAGTCTTCTTGTTCTGATGGAATATGTTCTGAAATGTTTAAGGGAGAGGAGAAGGATGCCTGCAACTGAATTTCAAATGGTTCAGGGAAAGATAATAGAGTAGAATAGACTATATAGATGGAGAAAGTAAATGTGGCAAATAACAATTGGTGAAGGTGGGTGAAGGGCATGAAAGTTCTTTGCCTTACAATTAATTCTTCTATAAGTCTGAAATTATTTGAAAATAAGAGAAATGCTTTCAGCTGTGAATAACAGAAAGTCTGACTACTTGTGGCTTTTGCAATAAAGACATTTAGTTATGTAACATAACAGGATTTAAGAGGAAGAAGGCAAGGACTTGAAAAGGCTCAGTGATGTAGCTGAGGCCCCAGATTCCTTTTATCATTTTGTCCAAAGGCTCCACCTTCCTGAATATTACTGCTTTATACCCTTGGAGCTTCATGATCACAGGATGGCTGTTATAGCTCCAGCCATCATGACCAAGTTCAGACTCCAGGAACAAGATGGAGGAAGCTATGTCAAAGGGGGCTTTTCTTGATGTGTCTCTCGCCTTTAACCAGTGAAGAAAATCTTCTTAGAAGGACACAGCAGACTTCTCCTTATGTCTCATTATCCAGAAGTGGACCACAGGACAGTCCCTACTGTAAACTCTTTCAAGTATCAGGCAAAAAGGAACAAAAGGCCCCAGCCTGGCTTAAACCAACCTTGAGTCATCACCTGACACTGGACACTTTGTTTATCCAAGCAAAATCAGGATTTTCTGTTAGCAAGCAAAGGAACTGCTCATGGATAAGAAATTAACAGTGTGTGCCATAATTCATATTTGCCGCCAAGCATCTTCTCAGGCTGACACTGTGCCAAACAAGGGATTATAGAGATGAAGATGCAGCTTCCATCCCTGAAAGCTCACAGTCCATTCTGTCAGGGCAATCCCGGTAACCTCCTCATCACAATCATCCATCCAGATCATGGAAGTCCCTTTACTCCCCAAATAAGAAGGAGTAGCAGGAAAAAGTGACCTCATCAAGCTGACTCGAGTTTTTCCAAAAGCAAATAAATAAATAAATAACTTTTTAACCTGCACAGCCAAATATCAAATAAATACATGTATGTTTTTTGGGGGGGTTGGGGGGTGTTTTTTTTTTCTGAGCTTCCTGTGGTATTGAAACTATCTCCCACTTCCTCCTTTTTGTCTCAAAAGATCTTAAGCATTGGGCCAGATACAGTGGCTCCTGCCTGTAATCCCAGTACTTTGGGAGGCCGAGGTGGGCAGATTGCTTTAGCCCAGGTGTTCGAGACGAGTCTGGGCAACGTAAAAATAGCCCATCTCTAAAAAAATAAAATAAAATAAAATACAAAAATTAGCCAGGCATAGAGGTGGATGCATGTAGTTCCAGCTACCTGGGAGGCTGAGGTGGGAGGATCACTTGAGCCCCAGGGGTTGAGGCTGCAGTGAACCATGATCATCACATCTGGGCAACAGAGCAAGACCCTGTCTCAAAAAAAAAAAATCTAAGCATCCATTCATTTTAGTTCATTTGAGGATAATTATTGACCTCCTCTTCTACCACCACTAGGGATACAGAGGAGGAGCAAACAGACATTATTCCTTCCTCTTGAGGCTCACAGTTAATTGGTAAAGAGGGACCACTATTCAGAAAGTCCCACACATCATTGTATGATCAAAAGCTATGACAGATGCAAGGAAGGAAAGCTGGATGGTGTTGTGAGGCTTCATGGCAGGGACACCAGACCTGGTCTAGAGGTGAGGGAAGACTTCCCTGAGGCACTGGCTTGAATGGAGAGCTGAAGGAGGAATAGGAATTCACTAGAAGAAAGAAGAGGAAGCAGCAAGTGCAAGGCCCTCCTGCAGCAGGAGGGAGCATAGCACATTCAAGGAAAAGAAGCCAGCAGTGTGGATTACAGAGGAAGAGTGCAGCACGAGGGCAGTGGCTTGAGATGAGGCCAGAGAGGAGGGCACGCAGGACCAAGGGGACCAAGGCAAGGATTTTGGTGTCCATCAAATTGGAGAGTGCTGAGCAGGGGAGGGGTAACCGTGTAATTGCCTTTCTCAAATGCCCGTTTTACCATAGCAAGGACAGACTGGTAGAAGCAAGGGATGAACTGGAGAGATGAGTGAGGAAGCTGCTCCAGAAGACCCATCAGGAGATGACGGTGACAGGGAATTGAGTGGTAGCAATGACAATGGGAAGAGATGAGCAGAATCCAGGTATTTGTGGGTAGAAGTGGCAGGTGTGGCTACTTATTGGAGATGGGGCTGTAGGGCTGTGAAGGTGTGAGTCCTTTACTTATCCATCTCAAGGGTCACGGCCAACACTCCTATAACAAAAGACATATTAACAAGAGAAAAACAGAGCAAATTTATTTAATCCAAGTTTTATGTGACATGGGAGGCTTCAGAAATGACAACCCAAAGGCCCAGGGAAAACTGTTAATTTTTATGCTTAGATTAGATGAAGAATGGACAGCTAGATAGAAATGTGATTGGACAAACGGGTATGACCTACTGGGAACAGACTGAAAGGGGACCCAGCAAAACTGTCTGCTCAGATTCTTCTCAGCCTCTCTGTGTAGCCTCCATTCCTCCTGGGTATGGGGCAGGACCCTTTCTGAAATGAGAGTTTTCAAAGGAGAAGGAGAAGATAGAGAGTGACCTTTCTAGGTTTTATGGTTTGCTTTAGCAGGAGGGTTTCTAGGTTCTATGACCCATCTTGAGGAAGATAAATTCTGGTTTCTGTGACTCACTTTGGAGGATGAAGGCAAGCAGAAGAGAGGGTATGAGGAGAAGGTTGGAAAGACCTTGCTTCTGAGTTCCTTCCAATGTCCTTCAGTTCAAAATACTCAGGCTGAGGCACCATGCTTTGGGGTGTCATGTTCTAAGCCCCGACAGCATAAGGGCAGCGTTGAGACAGCCTTTGCAGCCTGGCCTGCATAATGGACAGACGCTAGTGCAATCCATAGGGTTGGAAATGTGGAGGGATAACTGGCGATGCCGGGAGCCTTGAGTTCAGTGTTGGACACATTGAGTGTAAAGTGCCTTTGAGACACCCAAGTAGGCTGTTGGAAATAACCAGCCTGGAGCTGAGAGGTCAGGTTGAAAAGCAGTGTCTGGACGGCAGGTAGGCCCTTGGCCATGAATTAGACCACCAAGGAGAGCAAAGTGAGAAGTCAAGAGGACCTAGTAGGGCCCCTGAAAACTCCAAATGGCCAAGAAGAGGCAAAGAGCTACAAACAATCCTGAGAGGGGGCCGAGGGCAGAGCCACCTGGAGGGAATGTTCATCAAAGTCACACCCTGCCCCTGCATCCGCCCCTCACTCTGCACATGGGAGCTCAAGAAGCCAAGGGGCTTGCTCTGTACCCGGGTCACCCAGCTTCATCCTGGGCAAAATGAGATCACAGTCCCCGACTCTCATTTGCCCTCTTTTCTGCTTTTGTTTTTTGTTTTTTTTTTTTTCTTTTATGCTCTTTTTAATTTTTTTCTGGGTACACATTAGGTGCATATATATGTGAGGTACATGAGATGTTTTGATACAGACATGCACTGTGAAATAAGCACATCATGGAGAATGAGGTGTCCATCCCTGAAGCATTTATCCTTTCTTTCTTTCTTTTTTTTTTTTTTTTGAGATGGAGTCCAGCTCTGTTACCCAGGCTGGAGTGCAATGGCGTGATCTCTGCTCACTGCAAGCTCCGCCCCCCAGGTTCATGCCATTCTCCTGCCTCAGCCTCTTGAGCAGCTGGGACTACAGGTGCCCGCCACCATGCCAGGCTAATTTTTTTTTGTATTTTTAGTAGAGATGGGGTTTCACAGTGTTCACGGGGATGCTCTCGATCTCCTGACCTCATGATCCGCCCACTTCAGCCTCCCAAAGTGCTGGGATTACAGGCCTGAGCCACTGCACCCGGCACATTTATCCTTTCTAATACCAACGATCTAATTACACTCTTTTAGTTATTTGTAAATGTACAATTAAGTTATTAATGACTACAGTCATCCTGCTGTGTGATCAAACAGTACATCTTATTCATTCTTTCTAACATCATCCCCACCTGCCCTCAGCCCCCCACTCCTCTTCCCAGGCTCTGGTAACCACCTTTCTGCTCTCTAGCTCCATGAGTTGAACTGTTTTGATTTTTAGATCCCACAAATCAGTGAGAACACGCAATGTGTGTCTTTCTGTGCCTGGCTTGTTTCACTTAACATAATGACCTCCCATTCCATCCATACCATTTTCTGCTTTTGTACAAGGCATAAAAAGCAGGGCAATGGGACTCAATGGATTTTCCACGCTGCTCTAACACACTACTGCAAACCTTGCAGCTTCAAACAACACAGATGTATTCTCTCATAGTTCTGGAGGTCACAAATCCAAAACGAGTCTTCCTGGACTAAAACTGAGGTGTTGCCAGGACCCTTGGTAGAAGCCCTAGAGGAGAATCCATTCCTTGCCTCTTTGGTGGCTGCTGGCATTGTGAATTGTGGGCACATCACTCCAATCTCTGCCTCCACGGTCACATCACCTTCTCTTCTGTAGTCGAATCTCCTCTGCCTCCCTCTTCATCTATAAGGACACTTTGTGATGACATTGCGTATCCACACAGATAACCCACAATAGTCTCCCCGTCGCAAATCTTTGAAGTAATCTCATCCACAGAGTCTCTTCTGCCAACATCCCATTCACTAGTTCTGGAGGTTAGGACGTGGACATCTTTGGGAGTTATCATTCCCCCTTTCACAGGCTATCTGGGCTGTATACAGAACCAGAGATCTGAGAATCATCTTGGCGGCCTCACTCTGTGAGCAGAGAAACGTGTCTGTGCTCAGCAGCAATCCCTGGAGGCAGAGACTGGAAATTACACCTGCAACCGTAGTAAGAGCTTGCCAGGGGGCCGGAATGGGTGCCATACCTAGAGCTGTACAGGCATCCACCTCAATTCTCTCAGCGGCCCTTTGAGGTCACTCTCTTACTGCCACCAAGGTGCAGGGTGGTGAAGTTAACTCAGAGCAGAGACCTGGCCTTGAAGCCTCGTCTCCCTGGGGAACAACCAATCAGCAGGAATCTGAACACAAGCACGAGGGGCAATCTGAGCCCTTCCCCAAAGCCTCACTCTTCATTCACTCTGGCTGGAATCCTGCCCTCCCTTCAGGGCCAAGCTTAGGGAACAAGGAGCAACCAGATCCTACCTCCAAGGACAGAGCCCTTACGTATTTCTGCAATCTGTCTGCAGCCGGTGGTCTGAATGAGCATCGTGTCATCACAGCACTTGTAAATTTTGGAGGGGCTCCTCCACACTGAGGGAATATGCTTGTTCAGGGGAGGGCACACTCCCCCATTTCTCCCGGAACCACACTTCTGCCGTGGGACCCTGAGAACACAAGGGCCCTCCCCTTGCCCTGTTGCTTCATGTGGCTTAGTCTTGCTTAACAAACATGCTAGGTGTGGAAGCTGAGGCCTACATGTAGTGTTGAGGGCAAGCAGGGACCGCCTGGAAATGCTGAAAGCATTCTCTTAAAGTGGGGCCTTCCCATCATGATTGCTAGGCCCATGATGAGAAGATATTGCAGGAAAGCACGACCTGGACCATAGAAAGGGCAGATCAATGTGTGGGCCTTTATGTGCTTATCCCTCCCACCACCCTGCTGCAGACCCCACCCGCACTCAAGCTTAGCCCCTGTGGCTTGGAACCCAAGGACGCTTCTGAGCTGAGGCAGACTTCAGGGAGTACTAGTTAGGATAGGTCAGCTGCAAGTAACAAACAAACAAACAAAATACACAGCAAACTCTGGCCCTCAGGGCCAAATTCAGCCCACCATCTATTTTTATAAAGTTTTATTGGAACATAGGTGTACCCATTCATTTACACATTGTCTATGGTTGTTTTTAGGGTTGTAGTGCCAACAGAGATCTCATGGCCCACACAGAGCCTAAAATGTTTTCCATGTGGCCCTTTATGGAAAAAGTTCGCCCACCCCTGGCTTGAACAATGACAACATTGAATTATCTGCCATCACAAGAACTCCAGAGGAAGGTGGCTCCAGGGTCACACGAAGGCTCAGCAAAGTCCTCGAGGCCCCAGGCTCCTGTTCCCTCCTTGGCAGGTTGGCCTTTCTTCTTGGGCTGGTTTCTTCATGGTCACAAGCCGGCTGCCACAGTTCCAGGCTTGACTGCCTCTCAGAAGCACATTCAGGCCAGGAGGAAGGGCAGGCTTCCTCCTCACCTCTTCTTATTTAGGGATCAAAAATCCCTCCAGGGCGGTGCAGCAGAGGTCCCTTACCTCTCAGTGTTTAGACCAGAGGTCAGTAAGCATTTCCTATAAAGGACCAGATAGTGAGTATTTTAGGCTTGTCAGGTCACATATGATCTCTGCAGCATATTCTGTGTGTGTGTGTGTGTGTGTGTGTGTGTGTGTGTGTGTGTGTGTGAGAGAGAGAGAGAGAGAGAGATGACCCTTTAAAAATGTACACTCCATTCTTCTCATGAGCCATAGCTTGTCAACGCCTGGTCTGGCACTCTTCACATGCCCTCTCCATGCCCATCTCCAGCAAAGGATAGCGGGCTTACCCTTGCTATCAAAGGTGCTTGGCTTAGACCAATCACCCAAAACTGATGTTTCAGAGATGCCTGCTGGAGGAGTGTAGGCAGATATTACTGATGTCAGAAAAACAGTTTGAGCGCCACTTCCTTCTCTGGCAGGAAGGAGTGATTGGCTGCTGGTCCTGCCCTGTCCGAGGAGGAGGACGGAACCCACCCACCAAGCTGTGGAGAGGTGGACCCCACAAATCCCCTCGCAAGCCACGTCTGAGAGCGAGCAGAGGGAAGAAACTCAAGCGTTTGTAGTCCTCTTTCTTAACAACAAGGCTTAAAGCGCCATCTTGTGTCTTGAAGGCAGAAGGAGGTCAGGATGTGTGTGCTAGAAGCAGGCAGAGGATCTTCACCAATGTCTCAAAAACTAGAGAAGGAAACATGGCGATCCTCAAGGCCTGCGGCGGCCCCAGCCCTTCCCGCACCCTGCGATAGTCTGGTGTTGGGAGGGTGGCCCACGTGTCCAAGCAACCACATCAGGGAGGTTCTGGGAGAGGAGAAGGCAAAGCTCCTGCCCTCATGAGGCAGGCAGTCCCATCCAGGACTGGACTGGATGAGCACCAATAAATAAGAAAACACAGCTGGCAGCTGACTGTGAAGGGTCTGGACAGGGTGCCGAAGTGAAGCGTAATGAGCTGGATAGTGAGGACCTCACTACAGAGGGACATCTATCTACACACAGCCTGAAGGGTGAGAAAGATGGATCCTTGCCCTGAGCCAGAAGTGCACACCCCAGAGAGAGCAGCTCCTGCAGAGGTCCTGTGGGGCAGGCATGGTAGGAATATTAAAGAGAAGAAGCCAGGTGTGGCTGCAGCCATGCAGGAGGAAGGGCGATGGGGTTGGGGAGGCAGAGGATGGGATTGGCATGAGAAGATGGAGATGCAGAGCCCAGATCGTGATAGCCCCAATAGTCCACGGGTAGGAGTTTGTATTTTCTACTAAAAGCAATGGGAGGGCGGGGCGCGGTAGCTCATGCCTATAATTCCAGCACTTTGGGAGGCCGAGGCGGGTGGATCACCTGAGGTCAGGAGTTCGAGAACAGCCTGACCAACATGGTGAAACCCCATCTTTACTAAAAATACAAAAATTAGACAAGTGTTATGGCGCGCGCCTGTAATCCCAGCTACTCAGGAGGCTGAGGCAGGAGAATCGCTTGAACCCAGGAGGCGGAGGTTGCAGTGAGCTGAGATCATGCCATTGCACTCCAGCCTGGGTGACAAGAGCGAAACTCTGCCTCAAAAAAAGGGAGGGGGGGCAATGGGAAACCATTGAATCGTTTTTAGCAGGTGGTCTGATTTGATTTACATTTTTTAGACATGTAGCTTCACTATCATGGTTATGGTGGTCCGTGCATTACTAACATTGCTAAAACCACCATCATGCCAGAATTACCCTTCCATTTGTGGGTTAAAACACTGCACCCATCTGTCCCTCCCCAGAGTCCTCTTAGTGGCTGCTCTTAGGAGGAACTAACATGGACTACATTCCCCCATCACACCCAGCACAAGTGCCCTCCCAGCCTCCCCCACCCAACTCAGTCCCATTCACACGTGGCATGCCAGGGACTCTCCCATCAGGGGAACACCCTGTAACTCCCAAGTTCCTCCAAAGCCTCTTGAGAGGGACCATGGTGCCCTGCAGGGAGTGGGTCCTGGTGGGTCCAGTGGAGGGAACGTCCTTGCTGAAACTGGCTGGGTCTTAGCCGGGAAGTGGTGACAGGTATCTCTCACATACGCTACGGGAACCCAGCGCAGCCAATGGAGTCCAATCAGCACACCTTGCGCCCACCCCTTCGTTTGGTAACTTGAGGCCACTGCCCACCCACCAGGTACCATCTCTCAAGCGTGCCCTGAAGTTCAGGGAAAGACGCCAGCGCCCCCTGCTGGTTGCGCTCTCCCATAGCAGGGCTCACATTTTGGGAGAAAGAAATCAGCTGTTAGCAGCTTTTGTTCTTCACCATGTTAAGCAAAGCACAACATTTTATAACTGGGTGAAAAGCCAGATATTCTGTCAGCTGATTTGATTGTTCTGTACGCATATCCCTAAGCCATTGTTTGACGGATATTTGTACTGAGTTGACTTTCTTCATAAGATGATAGGACTAATGAAGAGAAAAGGCAATGGAGTTTTTAAAACCAGCGTGATGAACCAAATGCTGCCACTGACTAGCTATGTACATGTAATCCAAAGGTTCCCTCCGTTGAAACAAAATAACAGTGCTTACCTAACCAGGTCAGCTGTGAGCTGGGACTTCACAGACAGGCATAGAGAGACATGGATGCAGGAAGGGCTTCCTTAGCTGAGAGGGTCGTGAAACTGGAAGGTAGTAGCAAGCATTTTCCAGTTGGATCTTTTGGCCGACATTTGTAGTGGGGAGACAAACATGTCTAATTTTCCCCCCACCCTGGCACATGGGCAGGTAGGAAGATGCTGGTGGGTTTGGTTCGACAGTTTGGAGAATGTCTTGTGGAAGGGGTGCTTTTTTTAATGCACACTCAGGCACCATGGGAGCCTGTTGTCACCCTGGATATCTAGCTCCATGCCCTTGCCCTTCCACTCTGCCTCGACAAGAATCATGGCACCCAAAATACATGAGTTCAAATCTAAGTTTCACAGGCTCAGGGATGAACCCAAGCTACCAAATGCACAGGCCCCTCCTGTATACGGTTACAGCAGGTAAGGGAGTAACTTACTCAGTGCAAGCTGCTGTAACAAAATAGCACAAGCTGGGTGGCTAATCAACAACAGGCATTTATTTCTCACAGGTCTGGAGGCTGGAAGCCCAAGATCAGGGTGCCAGTGCTGGCATGGTCGGGTTCTGGTGAGGGCCCTCTTCCAGGTCACAGACAGCTGTCTTCTCATTGCATCCTCACATGACAGAAAAGAAGTGCACAAGCTCTCTGGCCCCCTCTTACAGGCGCTAATCCCATTCACAAGGGTCCTACCGTCATGACCTCATTACCTCCCAAAGACCCCACCTCCAAATACCACCACATTGCCATTAAGCTTCAACATATGAATTTAAGGGGGAAACAAACATCCAGTCCATTGCAGATTGTCCTGATAATATGTGTGCCCAGGGCATTGCCCCCACAGCAAAGAGAGACATTGGAAGGCAAACCAATGTCAGGTTTCCTAATGTGCACGGAGTCATCCCTGGAAGAGTGAGTCCGGTGATCTTACCAGCTAATTGCATTGAGCTACCCCACCTTGGGGATCTACCTGCCAAGGAGAACAGAACACCACTGGCTTTGACACCCATCTCTCAACAATGATGGAAGAATGCTGGAAATTTACCTGCTCTGGTAGCTCTGTCTAAGTTCATCTTCCTTGTATGGACTTTCTTTTTTTATTGCTCTCAAATACTTGTATTATTAAATATCTCATTTAAAATTTCTTTAAAATACATTAAAAGTACATTTAAAGAGTACATTTTAAGAGTGCAGATGAAAACATAATGAATACATCTTTGCTTAAGAAAAAATATTTCGGACACAGCATGAACTCAGTTGCTGGTTCCAAGCCCCTCCCCTTCTCACTACACTGAACTTGGCATGCATTCTTTCTTCAGGTGTGTTTGTAATCTTACTACATATGGACATATCCCCCAGCAATATCAGGGATTGTTTTGCTTGTTCCTAGACATCATATAAATGGTATCATACCAATTATACCCCTACACTACTTAATGTTTCATTCAACATTGTTTTGGGGGACTATCCATGTTGATACATGAATTCTGTTGTGTTCATTTTTTCCTCTTGTGAAATAGTCCATCATGGAAATTGTCCCTAGTGTGTCTATCTGCACTCCTAATTGACAGGCATTTAGGCTGTTTTCCATTTTCCTAATTACAAGTTATGCTGAGTGAACATTCCTGAACATAGGTGTGAGGCTGTCTCTGGAGCACATGCCAAGGAACAGAATTCTTAGGTCGTAAGGAATGTGTACCTCCAGCCTTAGTCAATATTGCCAATTGCTGTCCTATCTGATTTTATTCATTTACGCTCCCACTAGCAGTATATATGAGTCTTTCTTTCACTTCTTGCCAACTCTTGCCAATCTAATGAATGGGAAGTGGTAACTCATTATTATTTCAATTTGTATTCCCTGTATTAATCCCTGAGACCTTAACACTTGTGTATTGCACATTCTGGTTCCTCTTTGGCAAATTGCCTTGGCATTAAGATAGTAAATTTTCCTTGCCACCTACGCTGGTTGAGTCAGGATGCTTAATTACTTGGAGGTAAAAAGCACCTAGCTGAAATAGCCATCCCTGAGGCTGCCTGTTGAGGATAGGAGATGCTTCATCCATCTTTAGATCCTTTCTTGGAAACGCTGAGCCTGGCCAGCCATGCAGGCTTTTCCAAGCTCTGATGCTGCCCTGTGTCCACAATAGCATCCCCACAGCCTGGATCCATCATTCCCAGCATTATGATAGCTCCTTTGTCTCCTTGGAAGAGCCCAAAACCCACAGCTGAGGCCTCAGGGCTTTTCTAATGTGCTTAGAACAGGGGTAAAGGTAATGCCAACCAAAATGGGGAAACCTGTATTCTTGCTCAGTCACTGCTTAGTCAGCATAAATCACTCCAGAGGATAGTTTGTTACTGACCTCAAAGACTCAGTTACAAAGATGATCACCATAGCATTGTTTACAGTAGCACCAAAAAAAAGGAACCACCTAAATATCTCTAAATGTCCAACATCACCGTTTGAAAAAATAAGGAATGGTACATCCTTCCATGGAATGTACCTTAAATCCACCCAAAATCATACTGCATATGGATATACAATGTCAAGGAAACTTAGGAGTCCTAGCTTGGGGTCCATGGACGTCCAACGAGATGCTTATCAAAGGGAGTTGGCATCCCCTGAGATGCTCATGAAAGTGCAGACTTCCGGGCCCCCCTCCAGACTGAATCTGCACTTCCAGCTTGGAGGGCAGGAATCCTAACAAGTTCCCCAGATGAGTCTCAGGCACACTAAAGCCAGAGCATCGATGCCTGGGACCCAAAATAGGGAAGAAGCACTCTGGTGTATCAAGAGGAAAAAAGCAAGTTACATACAAACGCAGTATACATAAAAACACCGCCTTCATGTGGGTGTGGGTGTGGGTGTGGGTGTATGCGTACTTTTGAAAAAAAAATTATCGGCTGAGTGCGGTGGCCCACGTCTGTAATCCCAGCACTTTGGGAGGCCAAGGTAGGTGGATCACCTGAGGTCAGGGGTTCAAGGCCAGCCTGGCCAATATGATGAAACCCTGTCTGTACTAAAAATACAAAAATTAGCTGGGCATGGTGGCAGGCATCTGTAATCCTAGTTACTCCAGAGGCTGAGGCAGGAGAATCGCTTGACCCCAGGAGGCGGCAGTTGCAGTGAGCCAAGATCATGCCATTGCACTCCAGCCTGGGTGACAAGAGTGAAAGTCTGTCTCAAAAAAATAAAAATAAATAAATATATATATATATATATAATTTTTTTAATTTTTATTTTTTAGAGACAGGGTCTTACTGTGCCACCCAAGCTAGAATGCAGTGGCACAATCTTGTCTCACTACCCAATCTCAAACTCCTGGGCTCAAGTGATCTTCTCCACTCAGCCTCATGAGTAGCTGGGACTACAGGCATACTCCACCGCACCTGGGTTTTTTGTTTTGTGTTTTGTACAGACAGGGTCTCACTATGTTTGTGTTCCCTGGATGGTCTTAAACTCTTGGCCTCAAGCGATCCTTCTGTGTCAGCCTCCCAAAGTGTTGGGATTACAGGCGTGAGCCACCACGTCCAGCCTGTGTGTGTGTACTAATAGCTACCTAGATAACAATACTTAACAGCAGTTACCTCTAGATTACCTCAGCACCATTGACAATCAGCCCGAAGACTTTGTGGTGGGGCTGTCCTGTGTGTTGTAGGGTGTTAGCAGTATCCCTGGGTGCAGTAGTGTAACAATCAAAAATGTGTTTGGTAGCATAAAAGTACAACTATAGTTAACAACAATTTATTGTATATTTTAGAGTAACTAACATAGTGAAATTAGAATGTTCCTAACACACAAAAAAGATACATACCTGAGGGTATGAATATCTGTCACCCTGATTTGATTATTATTTATTATATGTTTATATCAAAATATCACATGTACCCTGTAAGTATGTATAAATGTTATGTATAATTTAGATTTATTTTAATTTTAATAAAAAATAAATATTTAAAAATGTCTTCAGATATTGCTAAATGTCCCCTCAAGGAACAAGGTCCCCAGTTGGAGAACCGATTCTCTAGATGGGACATGTATAGATGATGCTTTCCTTTGTTTTTTAGTATATATGCCTATTTTTTAGTTTTTTCTAAAATAAGTGTACTTTAGTCATGTTAAAAAAAACTTTGTATTTATTACTGTCCCATTGCCTGCACTGTCTGAAAAAAATACACTCAAATGAAAAGATACATTAATACTTACAGTAAGAAAATTAATTTTATTATTATTTTAAAATAGCTGTGGAAAAACTATACAAAGGCCTCCCAAATGTCAATATTCCTTAGGCACCTTTGAAATATTTATAAACTTAATCTTTGGACTAGGCATCCTAATTGTAATTCCATATCTTAAAGAAGCAATTCTAAATATAGGAAATGCTTCACAAATATGGTTGATTTTTGCAGAGTTACCTATAAAAGCAAAAAGTTATAAACACTGTAAAACCAACCATAGGAAACTGTGTTAATTAAGGTACATTCACTTGATAGACTATCATACAGCATTAAAATGATATTTATAAAGAACTTATAACAATATGGGGGCAAGGTTTATGCCATATTGTTAAGTAGGAAAATAACTGAATACAAAATCAAATATGTTACATCACCATTCAAAGGTATAATAATGACAATAAAAAGAATCTCATCAACATGGTCGGAAGAAATACACCAAGATATTAAAAGTAATTGTTAATTGAACAATGGCATCGTAGGTGACTTTTTCTCTCTACTTTTCTGAAATATCCAAATTTTTTACAATAAACATGTATGTATTTACAGTGAAAGAGAGAACAGTGAAATTTCTTTTTAAAAATACTTGAAAATGATCACAAAAATGTGCCAACATTTCAGGTAAGAAATGTGTTTTTATATTGGTCTGTATACAAATTTCTATCCAGCTGATAAAAATAACTTCAAGAAATTAAACCTATTCAGAAACAATAGTGATTGTGTCTAAATTCATAGGCTTTGAGAAGGATAAATTTTTAAAGTGTAAATTACTATGCAGGTGGTCAGGAAAAGGTTGTATGGAGTCACATGATAAATGACACAAAGAAAATGCTTTTTATGAAAAACAAACTGGATAGATTTTTTCCCAAGCCAGAATCACATTCTTCTAAATCATTTAGAAGGCAATAAAATAATTTGGGCTTGATTAGCATTTAACTAACCAAGGACAGATTCCAGCCACCTTATGGATTTTGATCTAACTTGTTTACATTCATCAGAGGTGATGGGCAGTTCCAGCCCACAGGAAGCACAATCTTTGCAGACAAAAGGTGGCCCTTCTCATGTTTGTCAGGCAATATTTGTCCAACCTGGCCATTCCCAGTTGGCTCCAATGAACTCTTGTTAGCTCACTCCTCGGTCTCTTGTGGAACCAGACTATATCTTACAATAGACCTCAAAGAGGGAGGCAGCTGCGTGCATTCCATAGAAAATAGAAAAAGGCATGGCCAGGTTGACCACAATTATCCAGGGTTCAAAGCCAAAGACAATCTCCTCCAATCCGTTGTCATACTCAGGTCGACAGCCAAAAGCGGGAGGTATCCAAAGCTGCAAGAGAAGAGAAAATGGCCTGTGGTGGGGAGCAGCTTCCAAGCCACCATGGAGGCCCCACTCAAGTCCCAGGCCTCATGGGAGCTGACCCTGATGCACGGGGACTGAGTCACCCCTGACAGAACAATAAGGAGACCTCGTGGCATTTCCCATCTCCACAGAAACCACCAAATCCATGTCTGCCATGATCCTGCTCACTTCCTCACCCACCCTTCCCTGCAATCCATCCCTAATGAGCGCTCTTTGAACCCATCCAACTCTCTCCATCTCTACAGCCCTCGCCCAGCCTCAGTTTCCTCATTTGAAAGATGGGAATTCTAACACGTGTCTGAGAGGGCTTAGATGAGAATTAAGTTTGCAAAACTGAAAGCAGTGACTTTTGTTTGTGTTGCTCACGGAACCTACACACTGTTCCCTGCTTCTCAGGCTCTTCTCTGTCCCAGTTCTCTCCCTTTCTGCCACCCCTTGAGTTGTCAGGCTCCTCACTCCTGCTTCAGGCTGCACCCTTCTTCAGCTTCCTCCACTCCCTGGCTGTGGCAGGCAGCCTCTAGCATGACCCTCAATGATCCCCAGCTCCTGCAGTCACCCTCTTGTGGAGTCCCCACCCCTTTAGTGTGGGATGCACCTAACGACTCACTTCCAACTCACAAAATATGGCAAAAGACACAGGAAGTCACTTCTGAAATTAGGTTGCAAAAGGACCTGTTATCCCTCTTGCTCATCTTCTCCTGAAAGACAGGTGGCAGAGCTGCCATGCTGCGAAGCACCCTACGCGGCAAGGGGCCCAGGGAGTACTCCTGTCAACAGCCAGCAAGGAACTCAGACCCTCAGCCCAACAAGCCACAGCTGAATCCTGCCAACAGTCACATGAGTAGATTTGGAAACAAATCCTCTGCCACCTCTCGGAAAGTCAAGCCTTGAAATGAATGCAGCCCCAGCCAACAGTTTCAGCCTGGGAATGGCCCTGTGCAGAGATACTCAGCTAAAACTGTAGTTGGATTCATAAGTCAGAGAAACTATGAAATCATAAATGTACATTGTTTTAAGTTGCTGAGTATTGGGGTGGTCTCTTCCATAGCAATACGTAACTGAGACACATAGCCTTCATTTGTATCTCCATACAGAACACTCCCTGGTATATACAGCCGACCTCTGTATCCAGGGACCTGTGTCTGTGGATTGAACCAACCACAGATCAAAAATATTCAAAAAGTAGGCTGGGCACAGTGGTTCACACCTATAATCCCAGAACTTTGGGAGGCCGAGGCAGGTGGATCACCTGAGGTCAGGAGTTCAAGGCCAGCCTGGCCAACATGGTGAAACCCCATCTCTACTAAAAATGCAAAAAATTAGCAAGGTGTAGCGGCATGTGCCTGTAATCCCAGCTACTCAGGGGGCTGAGGCAGGAGAATCCCCTGAACCCAGGAGGCGAAGCTTGCAGTAAGCCAAGATCATGCCACTGCACTCCAGCCTGGGCAACAGTGAAGCTCGGTCTCAAAAAATAAAAATAAATTAATTAAAAAAATAAAATGGTTTGTTGTGTCTGTACTGAATAGGTACAAACTTTCTTCTTGTCATTATTCTCTGAACAATACAATGTAACAACTATTTACATAGCATTTAAATTGTATTAGGTATTCTAAGTAATCTAGAGATGTCTTAAAGTGTACGGGAGGATGGGTAGGTTACATGCAAGTATTACCCCATTTTATATATAGGACTTGAGCATCTGTGCATTTGGTATACACCACGGGGGCCCTGGAACCAAGACCCCTCTCTTCTGCTTTGCTTACTGGCTGCTGTGACTCTTAGGAGCTCTCCTACTTGTTCGGCGGGTCCTTCCCAGTCTCCTTTGCTGTTTCATCCTTTGCTCTGCCTCTTAATGTTAGCCAGCATCCAGGGCTCATTCCTGGGTCCCTTTCTATTCTCTCTACACATGAACCCTGGGGCTCTCTCCCAGTCCCTGGTTGTAAATACCAGCTATAGGCCTATGACTTCCCAGTCTCAATCTCCAGCCTGGACCACTTCCAAGAACCCCAGACTCATAGTTTCCGGTGGCAACTTGGGTGTCTAAAACACATCTCAAACTCAACCCACCTTCCCCATTTCTCCATCTGCTCAGCTACATCGTCCTCCCAGGTGGTCCATCGAGGCTCCAGGTGTCAACCTTATCTCCCTCCTACTCTCATAACCATGCCCCCTCCCATCCAGTCCCTCAGCGCATCTCCACTGTGCACCTCCAAAGCAGTATCTTCAGCCCACCTGTGGCTCTCTCTCTCCACCTGTCCAGCCGGCCTCTCTCACCTGGACCATGGCGGTGGCCCCGTGCCTGGTCTCCCAGCTCGAACTAGGGTTCCACTCGGCCACCAGATTTACATTATATGGAAATCAGATCCTGTCCCTACCTTGATTAAACCCCTAAAGTCTTCCCAAAATATTTAAAATAAATTCTACACTCCCGCACTGAGTGATAAAGTGCTCTGTTAGCTGATTTCTAACCACCCACGCTTCTCCCCACTCACCCCACCCACATTGCAGGCAACCCTTCTTCCTGTTTCTCAAACCAGACCCGCTCACTCCCACTGGGGGTTTATACCAGCCATTGTTCCCTCTGCCCTGAACATGCGTGGTCAACCCCTTCCTGTCTCATGTCACCCTTCAGCGAGGCCTTCCCGCTAAGCTGGTCCATCTGATCTACAATGGCAGCCCAAGAGCTATTTCCCACACCCTCCTTTTCCACTTCTCTGCTTAACACGGGTACACTATAAGGTGTCTTTCTTGCTCAGTTGATGGTTTCACCTGCTGTTGCCTGGTTTGTAAGCCCCATAAGAGGAAGACCAGAGATCTTGGTCATTGCTGTACCCTCACCATTCATAGCAGTCCCTGTACCTCTGTAGGTACTTAAGGGACACCTTTTAAAAGAAGGGTGAGAGGAAGGGCAAGGGAGACAGGGAGGAAAAGGGAGAAGAAAGGAAGGCAGGAAAATGGGACCTCTTTTCTGAAATCCACATCTTTATATGTGCTGTTTAGTTGGCTGGAAATTCTTGTTACTTATCCTATTGAGAAGTGGCCTATGACCTCTTTCTTTGAATCTAGATGGACTCTGTGACTACATGACTAATAAAATATGGCAGAAATGACACCATGCAGTTTCCAAGCCCAGGCCTTAGGAGACAGGCAGCTTCCAGTTCAGTCTTTTGGAGGGTCAGCTCTGGGGCCCTCAGCCATCACGCATGGAGTCCAACCACCCTGAGACGTCATGCTGGAGACCCACCTGTGGATGCCCCAGTCAAGAGTCCTGGCTGAGCCCAGCCTCCCAGCCACCCCCACCCAAGGCATCAGACCACGAAGCTTCTGGCCAAGGCTTCACCAACTTCACTTGATGCTGTGAGGAACAGAACTGCCCATCCAAGCCCTGCCAGAATTTCTAACCCACAAAGCCATGAGTCACAATAAATGCCATGGGACAAAAACAGTCATGCATGTTGCTTTTGTCATACATTAGTGGTAGTTCATCGCACGGCAATAGAAAACCAAAATACCTGTCTACTGGGTTCGTCCATTTGGATGCCACAGAGGCACCTGAAACAGAACACGTTCATTACTTAACTCTGGTTCTTCCTTCCACACTGACCTCCACCCACTGCTCCCAAGGTTGCCCCTCCTCCAGAGTCCTCCATCTCCAACATAGTATCACCATCTCCCCAGGAACTCAAGTGTGAAGGCAGGGGTCATGTTTGGCATCTGTCACCCTTTGCGAGTTGCAACCTGGAGACCCTGGAGGGTGTTATGATGAGTGAAATAACCTAATCACAAAAGGACTAATACTCCACAAATTCACTTATATGAGGAGTCTAGGAGTCAAATTCCTAGAGACTGAAAGAACGGTGGTTGTCAGGGGCTGGGGAGAATGGGGAGTTCATATTTAATGGGGGCAGAGTTTCAGTTTTGCCAGATGAGAATAACCTGGAAATGGATGGTGTGATGTTTGCACAATGTGAACGTACTTTACTCCACTATACATTTGAAAGTGGGTGCAATGGAAAAGTTTATGTGATGAGTTTTTTACCACAATTAAAAATATAACAAAATAAGCATGAGTCAGATCCCGTCACTCTCAGTGTAGACCTTTCCATGGTTTTCTGTTGCATTTAAGATTGAGTCTTGGCTCGCAGGCCCTGTGTGGTCTCCCCTCTGCCCTCTGCTCTGTGCTCCCAGGTCATGTCCAGTGAGCCCTGCCTTGCCTTGCATCCGTCCCTTCCCCACACCTGCAGCTCTGCCCTGATAGTCTCTCATCCCAGCCCCATCCACACCCTTCCTTAGAAGAGGCCTTCCCTGACCCATCTCCCACAGCACCCTGCCCTTCCCCGTCACCACAACCACCCTCTGTTGTCTCCAGTGCCACGGCTCCTGGAAATTCAACTAACATTTCCATGTCCGTCTCTGGAGTGGAGCCCACTCCACCTGGACATGCACATCAGCACCTGCAGCTGGGGCCTCTGGACTGGCTCCCGATGCTGGAGAAGACAGCTCTTGCTCTCTGCCAGATGCCTTTGGCACCACCTGGGGTCAACCACAAGGTTTCAAAGTGCCACCCCATGAGCCAGCACGGGTATCCTAAGACTCCACCCTGCGATGATTTCCATCCTCTGGTTCAACCCCCCAGAACCCAACCAGTGCCTGGGGGCATCATGGGCCAAGCACAGGGAGGAAGAGACGGAGCCCACCCTTCTCCTTGGACTGGGCCCTGGGTCTGGCTTTCGGGTCCTGACAGACCATGAATTGCCACTTGATTCTGGTATTTCAGACAGTGCTATCTTTCTTCAAGTGGGTCCAAAAATGCAAGCCAAGTATTTCACCCAGTGGTCAACCAAAAAGGCAACCAGGGAAAGACAACTTTTCAGAACTTAGTTTTAAAAAGAAATATTAGGTCAGAAGCAGTGGCTCGCGCCTGTAATCCCAGCATTTTAGGAGGCCTAGGCAGGCAGATCACCTGAGGTCAGGAGTTCGAGACCACCCTGACCAACCTAGTGAAACCCTGTCTCTACTAAAAGTAGAAAAATTAGCTGGGCATGGTTGTTGCATGCCTGTAGTCCCACCTCCTCGGGAGGCTGAGGCAGGAGAATCACTTAAACCCAGGAGGTGGAGGTTGCAGTGAGCCGAGATCGCACCATTGCACTACAGCCTGGGCAACACAGCAGGACTCCATCTCAAAATATATGTATATTAATATTAATCACAGGATATGTACAAAAAGCATATACTTGAGGAAGATTCTAGAACTAGCTCTGACTTTATAAGAATTTGCATTTTGGAATATGCACCTCAAAAAAATGCAGCTTACAGTATCTATCTCTCTTGTTAACTCTTTCAATTTTTGACTCACTGCTGTGCCCCTGACATAGTCCCTGGCATACAGCAGGTGCCTGGCAAATGTCTGTTAGATGGAGAAGAGGGTCTCCCTGCAGCCAAACTCTTCTGGGCCTTCCACCTTCAGAGCCCCTCCTCACTGCCTAACAAACTGAAGGAACCTGGGTGATCCAAGGCTAGGGTGGATCAGGTTTGCTTGGCAGACACACAGCCATTCTGACTTTAGAAGGGACTTACTTTCCCAACTTTGTGTTCTTAGGGTGATATCAAAAGCTGCAGGCCCCATATGCACCATCTGAAATTCAGGGGAGGAAGCTCAAAAGCCTCTGAGCTGCTGGGGCAACAGGGAGCAGGCTTGATAACAGAGGCTAGTAGCACAGAGCTGACTTCACCCAGAGTGATGGGCAGGCACCTCTGTGGACTGGGGCACTCCCCTCCAGCCACCAGTCACCATCACTGCAGAGACTCATGCGGTGGCAAAGGCTGCTTCCCCCTCCTTCTTACTGACCCCCACCATCCTTCCTTTATGTGTCTTTAAAAAAATCCCAACAGCACACAATGCTTCTTATTCCTTTTTCTTCTCTCCATCCCTCCATCACTGCCCTAGTTCAAGCTCCTCCCCTTCCTGCCTGGGCTGTTGCAGGGCTTTCTCTCCCAGTCTTTCTGCTTCTGGCCCTATCTGTCTCCATCCTTGCTACACACAGCTACTGGGAGGATCATTCCAAAACACAAATCTGAGAGAGTCTTCCCTTGCCCTCAGCATAAAGACTAGACTCCAGCCAGGCCTAGGAAGCCCTGCTCAAGCCAGAGTCCACCTACCTGGGCCCTCTCTCCTATTTCCCATTCTGCTACTCTGCTTAACACACATGGAATTTATGCCAAACTACTTGGTGCTCTCAAAACATGCCATGGTGTCTTTTGCCTCTGTGTCTTCACATATTGTGTGTCTCTGCCTGAAATGCTTTTCCCCGCCTTGATAACCTGGTGAACTTCCAGTCATTCCTTGCTGATGCAGACAGATGGGTGAGTGACTGTACACCTTCCTCTCCCTTGCTACCTTCCATCAGAGAGGCTGGGAAGCAAACCGTCCACTTCCCCAGCCTCCCTTGCAGTGAGGGGTGCCCACATGAGAGACATTGTCTGGCACCAGCCCTTCCCCACTGCTTTCTGTCTTGAACCCAGATGTGATGCCTGGTGCAGCTGCAGCCATCTCATGACCATGTCGCAACAAACACCACACGACCCAAGTGACAAGATGAACAGTGCCTGGATGCCTGATGACACGGTTCAGCTGCCAGGCCAACCCCAAGCAGCCAACCTCTGGAATTCTCAGGAGATAATTAAACATTGTTAAGACTGAAGACACTGTGAATCAAATTGCCTGTCACTTGCAACTAAAAGCACTCCTGATTGACACTGGGCCTCACCTCAAGCACTCACTACTCACTGAAGTCCTTCTGGATCCCTGCTCCTAGTACACCTTGCACAAGCCCATCTCAGCACTTGTCCTGTTCACTATATTAGATTTGCTCATTGTCTCCCTCCCCCATTATACTGAGACCTTTTAGAGGAAAGAGACTGAGTCTTTCCACTTTAATCTTTAGTACCTAGCCCAGCCCCTAGCACACAGCAAGTCTTCAGTAGGTAGATTTGTAGAATATAGGTCTATTTTCCAGCCTTATATTGTAATTTTATACTTACAGTATTTTTATTACAAGCTGCCTCCATTCCTTATTTTAAAAAGGCAAGAGAAACCTAGATGTCCATCAATAATGGACTGGATAAAGAAAATGTATTATGGCCGGGTACAGTGGTTCACATCTGTAATACTAGCACTTTAGGAAGCTGAGGCAGGAGGATTGTTTGAGCGCAGGAGTTCAAGACAAGCCTGGGCAGCACAGTGAGAACCTATCTCTACAAAAAAAAAAAAAAAGTTTTGGCCAGGCATGGTGGCTCACACCTGTAATCCTAGCATTTTGGGAGGTCAAGGTAGGTGGATCACTTGAGGTCAGGAGTCCGAAACCAGCTTGGCCAACATGGTGAAACCCCCATCTCTACTAAAAATATTTTCAAAAATTAGCCAACTGTGGTGGCAGGTGCCTGTAATCCCAGCTATTCTGGAGGCTGAGGCAAGAGAATCACTTCAACTCGGGAGGCAGAGGTTGCAGTGAGCACCATTGCACTGTAGCCTAGGCAACAAGAGTGAAATTCTGTCTCAAAAACAAAAAAAGTTTTTAAAATTAACCAGGTGTAGTGGCACATGCCTGTGGTCCCAGGTACTCAGGAGGCTGAGATGGGAGGATTGCTTGAGCACAGGAGGTCGAAGCTGCAGTGAGCTGTGATCATGCCACTGCACTCCAGCCTGGGCAATGGGGCGTGACCCTCTCTCAAAAAAAAAAAAAATAGAAAATGTGGTAGCTCTACACCATGGAATATTATGCAGCCTTAAAAAAGAATGAAATCACATTATTTGCAGCAACCTGGATAGAAATGGAGTCCTTATCCTAAGTGAATTAACACAGGAACAGAAAACCAAATACCTCATGTCCTCTCTTATAAGTGGGAGCTAATGGTAGTCATGAACACAAATATATGAACAATAGACACTACTAGGGACTACTAGGGGGAGAGGTCAGAAGTGGGGTGCAGGGTGAAAAACTACCTATCGGGTACTATGCTCATTACCTGGGTGGCGGGATCATTTGTGCACCAAACCTCAGCGACACGCAATTTACCCATGTAACAAATCTGCATGCGTACCCCTTGAACCTAAAATGAAAGTTTACAGCAAAATTAAAAGAATAAGAATAACTTGGTGCAGATTACCAAAGTATTGCAGAGGAACAAGAAGGCTGCAATATTCCTCAGGACTTTTCTCTTGGCGTTGCCCTGTAAGAAACGAGGAAGGTGGACTGGGCTTGGGTTCCCTCCCCAGCTGCTCTCCTCCTGCTTCTCCTCCTTGTCACAACTTTCTCTCAGGCACACATTTCCATTGGCTGCTGGTGGCATGTCCCTGCCCCAGGGAGCCACGTCTCCGGCCACAACTCCACTCTTGAGGCAGGAGGAAGCAAGGGGCATGGTGTTGCCATTGCAGACTGTGACCATCCGAAGGGTTTGGATGTCCTCAGAGAGTTTTTTAGGCTCTCGGTGAATGGATTCAAAGATGAAGAGGTTCTGGATGTACTTCTCCATGATCACCACGATGGAGTAGGGCAGGTTGTACCAGGTGTAGTGGGGGTGGTCCTCGGCACAAAGGATGGCCAAGATTGAGCCCCAGGAGATAAGCCAGGAGCCTGAGGCAGTGCCCACCAAGAGGTCCGAGTCCAGTTTGCGGGGCGGATTTTTGGACTCATCCAGTGACTTCTCATCTGTCCTGTAAATCCGGATTCCAGCCAGCCCCGCAGCCCCCATAAGCATCATCAGGGTGATGACATACAGGTAGAACGTGATGAGTGCTGACTCGCTCTTGGTCTTGGAGCACCCAATATGAATCAGGTACACCACCCACCACCACGGCAATGGTGGCAGCCAGCGCGGTCAGGCCCAGGACTGTGCCCACCGTGACCCCATCAGGCTTGAACTGCATCTTCTGGTGCTGATGGCTGTCAACTTTGCGCCCGATGTTCTTCCATAGGACGTAGAGCACTGTGGAGGCCAGGATCTGATACTCTATGTTGAAGGGGTAGAGGTAGTAGTTATAGTAGATCCCGTGGGAGATGGTGGTGCAGAGAGTTGGGGGCGTGCAGTTACACTGCGGTGTGTGGTCATCTAAAACTAGGGGAGACAGGTTGATCACACAGAGGGGCTATTAGCAGGTGCAAGGGGAAGCAGAAAAGCACAGAAAACTGTTTCCACTGTGGATTCAGGCTTGAGTCTTCCCACTGGATTACAAGCTTTTTCATGTCATGGCTTATTATCACGTTTAATATGATGGCTAATTTGATAGCCCTGAGTATCCCCAAAGCATATTCATTACCTAAATCACATTTATTTGGTGAGTTGCCAAAGAGGATAGAGAAGATGACTCTATTGTTGTAAAAAATAGATATGTAGATGATAGATAGATAGATGGATACACACACACACAGACAGACAGAAAAAACCTGGAAGGACACAAACTAAAATGTCAACAATTGTTATCTCTGGGTGGAAAAATGACAGATGATTTTTAACCTCTTCTAGATTTTGCTTCCCTGTATTTTCTAAATTTTTTCTGTGAAGATGATTTACATGTGTGATTTTTTAAGATTATTTTTAAAAAATACTTTCTGGAGAAAATGCCCCTTTTAATTAGCAAAAGATATGCCTCTTAAGACTCCAGTGCTAGCAAGCATGCAGGAGACAGGTGCTCTCTGATATCAGTGCGGGGAAAGTAAACGGGCACCACCTTCTGGAAGAGAAGCTGGCTGTCATATGGAGGGCCCTCTCATCACAGGAGGGCAGATGCTGCAAGTAAATGACGAAACAGGTCACCAAAGCCCTGAAGGCGATGCAGTCTCTGACCCATAATTCCATTCTTTCCATTCTACCCTTCTACTCAAAGGGACAAATAAAAATGTAATCAAAGAGTCAGGTAAGGCCAGGAGTGGTGACTCAGCCCTGTAATCCCAGCACTTTGGGAGGCCAAGGCATGTGGGTCACTTGAGGTCGGGAGTTCGAGACCAGCCTGGCCAACATGGTGAAACCTCATCTCTATTAAAACTACAAAAATTAGCCAGGTGTGGTGGCAAGCCTGTAATACCAGCTACTGGGGAGGCTGAGGCAGAAGAATCGCTTGAGCCTGGGAGGCAGAGGTTGCAGTCAGCTGAGATCGCACCGCTGCACTCCAGCCTAGGTGACAGAGTGAGACTCAGTCTCAAAAAATAATTTAAAAAAAGTCAGGTAAAATTGTGTGTGTTTGTGTGTGTGTGTGTGTGAGAGAGAGAGAGAGAGACAGAGAGAGAGAGAGAGAGAGAGAGAGGAACAGCTCAAAGTCCAACAATTTAGAAATTGTTAAGTAAATTTTAGTATATCCCAACAATGAGATAGTAGACAGCCACTGCACGTTATAATTAAGATGTGCTTTATGGTTTTGGGTATGGGGGGGGGGTTTGTTTTTTGTTTGTTTTGAGACAGAGCCTCCTCTGTTGCCCAGGCTGGAGTGCTGTGGCACAATCTTGGCTCACTGCAACATCAGCCTTCTGTGCTCAAGCATCCTCCTACTTCAGCCTGCTGAGTAGCTGGGACCACAGGCCCATGCCACCACTCCCAGCTAATTTTTATATTTTTTGTAGAGACAACGTTCCGCCATGTTGGCTAGGCTGGTCTTGAACTCCTGAGCTCATGCGATCTGCCCACCTCAGCCTCCCGAAGTTCTGGGATTAAAGGCATGAGCCACTGCACCCAGCCAGGATGTGTTTTAATATTAAGAAAGTAATCTCGTTTCAAGGAAAATGGAAAAAAGTAAGAACAAACTGTATATTTCTTTAATGCAAGTCACAACCCAGTACAAGGCTGCAAAATCAGGTAGCAACCAACTTTTTTGTAGCAGAAATAATTTTCAGTGGACTAGAATGGGATAGAATGGAGTGGAATCAACTCCGATAAAATTTGGAAGCATCTCTGATACAGTAAAATTAAGTATTATTTCATCAAGCATACACACATAAGTATGTGTGTGTTTGGATTACAGTGTAAAATCTGTCTCTTATTGAAGGTTGCAATAAAAAAAGATCAAATATATAGTATAAAATCAACTATAAATAAATGGCACACTACAAAAAAATAACCAAACATTCGCAGCACTTACTGCATTTCTGGGTAAGTGTTGTGGATTTTTTTGCTTCACACTTTGTCATTGTTTTAGTTTATGATATGTATATATTACTTACAAAATCTGAGAAAAGCAGCTGGGTGTGGTGGCTCATGCCTGTAATCCCAGCACTTTGGAAGGCCGAGGCAGGTAGATCACAAGGTCAGGAGATTGAGACCATCCTGGCTAACATGGTGAAACCCTGTCTCTACTAAAAATACAAAAAATTAGCCAGGCGTGATGGTGGGCGCCTGTAGTCCCAGCTACTCAGGAGGCTGAGGCAGGAGAAGAGTGTGACCCCCGGGAGGCAGAGCTTGCAATGATCCGAGACCATGCCACTGCACTCCAGCCTGGGCGACAAGCGAGACTCCGTCTAAAAAAAAAAAAAATCTGAGAAAAACTATATCGTAGCATTAATTTTACTTTCACAGAACACTATGAAATTTTCTTTTTCTTTTTTTATTCTTTTTTATATAGGGTCTCCCTCTGTTGCCCAGGCTGGAGTGCAGTGGCACAAACACAGCTCACTGCAGCCTTGACTTCTTGGGCTCAAGTGATCCTCCTGCATCAGTCTCCCATGTAGCTATAGCTGGGACCACGAGCCCATGCCACCATGCCTGGCTTTTTTTTTTTTTTTTCCAGAGCTGGGGTCTCCCTTTGTTGCCCAGGCTGGTCTCAAATTCCTAGGCTAAAGCAATGCTCCTGCCTTAGGATTACAAAGTGCTCAGATTACAGGTGTGAGTCACTGCCCCAGTAATAATCTTCAATTCACACAGGGCTTCCCTAGCACTTACAATTCAATACGGTGTTATGCAGAAGACAAGGGAAGAAATCAGGAGGAAAAGTTCAGAGTAACAGAATGTTACAGCTGACAGAGTCCTTTTTTAGAAAATTAATCCAACCTCATCTTTCACAGAGGGCCTTGAAGCCAGATTGTTAGGATTCAAATCATGGCTGTATCACATGTTCACTGTGTTACCCTGGGCTAACTTCTCCGTGGCTTGATGCCTTCATCCATATAATGAGGTTAATATTGTCTACCTGAGGCCAGGCGCAGTGGCTCACGCCTGTAATCCCAACAGTTTGGGAGGCCAAGGCTGGCGGATCACAAGGCCAGGAGTTGGAGACCAGCCTGGCCAACATAGTGAAACCCCGTCTCTATTAAAAATACAAAAATTAGCCAGGTATGGTGGCACGCACCTGTAGTCCCAGCTACTCAGGAAGCTGAGGCAGGAGAATCACTTGAACATGGGAGGCAGAGGTTGCAGTGAGCCGAGATCACGCTACTGTACTCCAGCTTAGGCGACAGAGTGAGACTCTGTCTCAAAACAAACAAACAAACAACAATATATATATATATATATATATATATATATATATATATATATATATATATATATACACATACATATACACACATATATAGCCTACCAGAGAGTGTGGGGGTACAAATTAAATGACATGTGTAAATTTCCAACAACAGTGGCAGGCACTCAGCAAATGCTTAATAAAAATTTACTTTTGTTATTGTTGTCATTGCTGCTACTAATATTGATACCAAAGAGGACATGAGGCCCAAACACCGAGTGCCTGCTGGTTGGGGGTGGTGACTTCGTTGTCTCCACCCCACTGATGACAAAACAGGTTCAAAGTGGCTCTCCAGGACAGCCTGGGTTCACACAGCTGTCACAGACTTGCTGCATGTTAAAGCTGGAAGGGATCTTTGCAAGTGCATGATTTGGATACCCTCACTTTACAAATGAGAAAAGGGAGGCTCAGAGAGATTAAAAGTCTTCTAAAGGTCACACAGCTTGTACATGATGGGAACAAACCTGAGACACCCAGTTCCCTGCCCCACATTCCCCTCAGCCTGAATGTTCTCATATAGAAGTGACATATTGTAAATGCTAAAGGATTTTAGATGAAAATATAAAGATTAACCCAACAGGCTCTCAAATAGGAACAAGGTAGAACAGACATGAGCTAGAATTATAAGCCAACTACAGTTAAATTAAAACTTTAAATGAACCACAGCCTATTAACCACAACCTACCATTAGACTTTTATGAATTTTTAAAAGCCATACTTTTACTAGAAAGAACTGGTAATAGAGGTTTAATTAAAAACACAAGCAGAGGCAACCATCAATCTTCTGTAGTTGAAAACAAAGACATTTATTTCTGCGGCAAACTGGACCATGAGAAATGGCCATCAGAATGATCACCGTGGGTCTTACAAGTCCCTGAGTCATGGAAGAAACCTTAATTATGCTCAGTACACATCACTTATGAGAGATTCAGGTTTTGGAAGATTTTCAACAACAGGGGGCTGTCTGGCTGATGCTGACTTTGGTGGGCCTGAAGTTCTTTGGAACCTACACTCCATCTCTGAACACTGTGGACTCTGCAGGTTTCCAAGACATTCCAACATGGCAGAGGGGTCACTCACCTCTCTCAGCACTCACCTGTTGTTATGTTCCCAAAGCCCAGAGTGATGAGCCATTCCTTGTGCTCATTGAGTTGGTGCTTTGACTCATTGAGGACGCCGTTGGCCCACAGAAGCAGGTTGGTGAACACCAAGTGGATCACCCCAAACCTGAAAAACACAAGGACTCAGTTCTCAAGCAGCCCTGGGAGAGCCTCAGGCACCATAGGGTGAGACAGACATGTGCACACAAATACACGGCTCCTTCTCAGCCATGATTCTGGCTACATCATGGATGACCCTTGAGAACTTTATGCTGTGAGAAATAAGCCAGACACAAGAAGACCAATACTGTATGGTTCAATTTATACGAGGCATCTAGAATATTCAAACTCATAAAGACAGAAAGTAGAACAGAGTTTGCCAAAAGCCAGAGGAGGAGGAAATAGAGAGTTGTTTAGTGGGCTCAGAGTTTCAGTTTTGCAAGATGAAAAACGTTTGCAGATTGGTTGTACAACAAGTGAATGTACTTAACATTAATGAACCATATGCTTAAAATGACTAAGATGGTAAATGTTATGTGATTGTCAACCTGAAAAAAAAAGACATTAGAGAAAATTATCGCTAAATATGTTGGATTTACTTGGAAATAGGAATTACAGTCCAGAATGCATGGAATGGCAAGCCACCAGCGCATTCGGTGAGGGAAGGGTAAGGAGGAGCTGTTATTAGCAAAGAGAGATTTACATAATCCACAGAGAAAAAAAGTTCATCGGTTCTAGAGGCTCAAAGCCAGAGTTGTCATCAGTTCATTGGTGGAGATGCCAGTGCTGGACAAGTGTTCTTCCAAGAGCATCTTATCTGCTTTACTGCAGTCCTAATGAATGTCTAGTAATGTCCAACCTCTTCAAAGCAGGAGATGCATGAAGGGTTTTTAGAAAGTCTTTGGAAACACTTTGTATCTCAGACACGTAGACAGAAGTGCCCTCTCCTTAGCGCTTTCCCAGGCCTATTTTGCCTGGGTCTGACAAAAGCGATTTCATCCTGATATCTACGGGTTTTTCAGTATTTGCCACAATTTTAAAATAAATGCTCTGTTTTTTAGAACAGCGCCTAATTGTTATATATACTTTTTTCCATTCGCCAGTCATCTAATGTAGCAAAAGCACATGGTAAGTGTCCAACAGGTATAGAATTATTAATTAATTGACTTGCCTGGCCAATAAAAGGCCTTAAATTAGAAAGCTAGGATCTCCAACCCACCAACTAAGAGGGATATTTTGAAAATTCATATCTGTCCCAGTCATTCTTCTGCCTAAAGCCTTCAGTGGCTCCCCACTGCCCTTGAGGTGAAGCCCAAGCCCCTAGGTGGTGGTCAGCCTTGACCAAGAATTTGCTGCACACCTAGCCCTGTGCCAAGTGCTTTTCATACACATGTGCCTTTAATCTCTACAACGAGCCCATGAAGTAGGTACTGTGATTGTCCTCACCTTGCAAGTAAGACCCATGAGGCCCAGAGAAGTTAAATAATTTTCCTGAAGTCACACAGCTGTGGTCAGAGCCAGAGTCATGCAATCTGACCAGAGTGCAAGCTTACAAGCCCTACACCAAACAGGGATCCAGCCTGTGCCCACACATCCTCCCGCTACCCCACTGTGAGGAAAGACTGCATGTCCCAAAGACACCCTCTTCCAGTGGCCTCTGACCCACTAACCCTGTGCTCCTCCCTCTCTCACAAACGGTTCTGGGACCTTCTCTGGCAGAAATTGACTCTCACCCCAAGCTGCCGAAATGCCCTCCTTTGTGCTCCCTCATTGCTCTGGGACACTCTGGTCAAAGCACTGAGCCCAGCGTTGTCACTGTTTTGGGGACTGCCTCTCACCTAACTGACACCCCCACGGTGTGTGCCACAGACTTTGCAGCCTTGTATTCCCCATGCTGAGAACAATGTTCATCCAGTATTTAAAGATGAACTGCAAGAAAAATAAATGAATGAACGAATGCAGTTCGTTCTGGCCTCACGAAAGCTTTCCACATTGTCACTGTATCACTATAAGGCTCTGTCTTCACGGGATTTGGCTCCCCTGGAATGAGCAGCCAGTTATCTTTGATCAGCTTGGGCTGCCATAACAAAGGACCACAGATCATCAACTTCAATAACAGGAATTTCTCTTCTCAGGGTCCTGGGGCTAGAAATCCAAGATCAAGGTATGGGCAGGGTTGGTTCCTTTTGAGGCCTCTCTCTTTGGCTTGTAGATGGTCAATTTCCTCCAGTGTCTTTACATGGCTGTCTCTCTGTGTGTGTCTGTGTCCTTCTCTCCTCTTGTTATAAAGACACCAGGGCCAGGCGCGGTGCCTCACGCCTGTAATCCCAATACTTTGGGAGGCCGAGGCAGGTGGATTGCCTGAGGTCAGGAGTTCGAGACCAGCCTGGCCAACATGGTGAAACCTCATCTCTACTAAAAATACAAAAATTAGCTGGGCATGGTGGCAGGTGCCTGTAATCCGAGCTACTTGGGAGACTGAGGCAGGAGAATTGCTTGAACCCAGGAGACGGAAGTTGCAGTGAGCCGAGATTATGCCATTGCACTGCAGCCTGGGCAACAAGCAAAATTCCATCTCAAAAACATAAAAAATAAAGACACTAAGCATATTGAATTTGGGCCAGCCTAATGATCTTATTTAACCTCAATCTCCTCTAAACGACCCTATCTCCAAATACAGTCACATGCTCAGGTACTGAGAATGAGGGTTTCAGCATATGAATTTCACAGGGGATATGACTCAGTTCATAAAGCTTTCAAGTGCAAGGCAGCCCCTCCAAATGAGCCCCTCAGCAAGCTCCCCAGTGATCCCACCATGCCACCAGGGAGCTAAACTGTTTCCAGGCTCACTGGGCATGTTCTGTCTGTTAGCTTCACTGTTTGAGAATGTGTTTGATCTAGAGAAACACTCTAAGGTCATCCAGTGCTGTCCGGTAAGTCAGCTGGGGGTACAAGCTGACGGTCACTTTGGATAAAAGATGAAGTTTTAAAAATGTCATCCCTGGTTTTCTAGAGGTAGAAAACTTTCCAAAGAACCTTCTCAAACTGGAAATCCAAAAATATTTCCAGCAATGGCAGTATCACCAGAACAAGTTCATGGTCTTCCAGGGTGACTTGTCAGGAAGAAAATAATCATTGTGTCTCCGCAGTGACTTTGAGCAAGTCACTTGTCTTCTCTGAGCTCCAACTTCTTCGTTAGAAAAAAATGAGGGCAGAGCCTGCCATTTGCAACAACATGGGCAAATCTGGAGGACATTGTGCTCAGTGAAATAAGGCAGACACAGAAAGAAAAATACTGCATAATCTCACTTATATGTGGTATCTAGAAAAATGTTTTTAATCCAATGCATAAAAACAGATGGTAGAAGCTGGGCATGGTGATGTGGGCCTGTAGTCCTAGCTACTAGGGAGACTGAGGCGGGAGGATCACTTGAGCTGAATTCAAGGCTGCAGTGATCCGTGATGGCACCACTGCACTCTACCCTGGGCAACAGAGCAAGACCCTGTCTCTAAAATTGAATTAAATTAATAAATAAAAACAAAATAACATAAAGAGTAGAATGGTAGTTGGAGGGGAAAAATTAGAAGATTTTGGTCAAAGGGTACAAAGTTGCAAATACGTAAGATGAATAATTCTAGAGATGTAATGGACAACGTGAAGACTGTAGTTAATACTATTGTATTGTATACTGGAAATTTGCTAAGAGAATAGATTTTAGGTGCTCTTACCACATCCAAAAAAAGAAAGGCAACTATGTGAGATGACAGACATAAATATGCTTGACTGTAGTAATCACTTCACTATGGATAGGAATATCAAATAATCATGTTGTATACCTTAAACATATACAACAAAAAACAAAAAAAAAATGAGACTGACAATTCAACAATTCAGATCCTGACTCTGATAACATTACCACGGATTTCTGCCAAGGGCGAACACTACCCTGAAAGCCCATCTAACATTCTTTTCAACCATGAGATTTTTCTGACCCTAAGCTATGTATTTAAATTATATTTATCAAATCCTTCCTTCTGAGCCATACCAAGTTTACCAATGCTGTGGGAAAAAATCCTCATACATTTCTAAAAGACTTTAATCCCCAAACAAGAAAACAAAAGCGCTTCCATGACCCAGAGGAGGCATTGTAATGGCACAAGGTTTCTATGTAGGAAGAATATTAAATTTTTTTTAAAAATAAAATTGATTTTGGCAATGGTTGCATAACTCTATGAACAGACTAAACCGTTGAATTCCACATGTTAAATGGCTGAATTATATGCCATGTGAATTCTCTCAATAAACCTGTTACATACCCAGAAAATAAAACTCCCTCAAGCTTTTACTGTAGACCCTGGCTTGGCAGAATTTCCTGACTCTTCATCATTAGAAGTTCTGCCTCATAGGATCCCTGCAAAAATGGCCATGGGGACACAGAGTTTTATTTTGCAATGGAGGCAGCTGAAGAATTAAGCCTCAAAGATAGACTTCAGTTCACCTCAGTTCACTGCAGTTCACAGCTGTGCACACTGTCTCCACTTGCCACATGTCTCGATGTTACAAGTTTCTACACAACCTGGGATACACTCCACAGGAATGAGACAACATGAATAAACATCAGTGGTTTACCTGCAACAAAGTATGCACTGAATGGGTGACAGGGAAAACTCCTTCAGTGGCTGATAAACATTCTGAAAATCCAATGAAGTATCTAATTTTAAGGCATCCCAGGATGATGGTAATGACTGCAAACAATGTGATACTACCTAAATGTGGGATAAAGGGGGAAGTGGAAACACACACATTCCATTAATATACATTGATGTCATTTCAAAATAAATTATATTACATATGAAACCCTTATGTATATGGTCAAATGATTTTTTTCACAAGGGTGCTGAGACCATTCAATGGGAAAAGGGCAGTCTTTTCAACAAATGTGGGAAAACTGGATGTCCACATGCAAACGAATGAATTTGAACCCTCACCTTACAGCATATACAAAAATTAACTCAAAACAGATAAAAGATCTAAACATAAAAGTATAAACCTTGTAAAAGAAGACATGGGAGAAAGCTTCATGACATTGGCTTTGGCAATAATTTCTTGGCTATGACACCAAAAATGCAAGCAACAAAAATTAAAATAAATAAGACGAACTACATGAAAATGAAAAATTTTTGCACATCACAGGATGCTACCAACGAAGTGGAAAGACAGCCCACAGAACTGGAGAAAACATTAGCAAATTATATACCTAATAAGTCATTAATATCCACAATATACAGATTTGTTTACATTAAATACCTCATATAATGAAATCGTACAGTACTGTCCTTTGGTGGTTGAGTTTATTTTACTTAGCATAATGTCCTTATGGCTCATCCATACTGTATCGTGTGTCAGAATTTCCTTCCTTTTTAAGCCGAATAATATTTTGTTGTATGTCTATACCTCACTGTGTTTATCCATCTATCTGTTGATGGATGCTGGGTCGCTTCCACCTTTTGGATACTGAAAATAATGCTGCTATGAGAGAATTTATAGAGAATTCTTATACATTGACAGCAATGGGCTGGGCACAGTGGCTCGCACCTGTAATCCCAGCACTTTGGGAGGCCGAGGAGGGTGAATAACTTGAGGGCAGAAATTGGAGACCAGTCCGGCCAATGTGGTGAAACCTGTCTCTACTAATAATACAAAAATTAGCCTGGTATGGTGGTGCATGCCTATATTCCCAGCTACTTGGGATGCTGAGGCAGGAGAATCCCTTGAACCAGGGAGGCAGAGGTTGCAGTGAGCCGAGATCATGCCATGGCACTCCTGGGCAACAAGAGCGAAACTCTGTCTCCAAAAATCGATCAATCAACAATGACAAAAGCCAATTTAAAAATTGGCAAAGGACTTGAATAAACATATCTCCAAAGAAGACATAAAGATGGCCAGCAAGTACATGAAAAGATGTTCACCATCACTAATTATTAGAGAGATGCAAATCAAAACTACAAAATACTTTCACACTATCAGGATGGCTACTATCAAAAAAAAAAAAAAAGAAAATAATAGAAAATAACCAGCATTGGTGAGGATATAGAGAAATAGTGCTCTGTTGGTAGGAATGTAAATTGGTACAGCTACTACTGAAAACAGTAGGGAGGGCCTTCAAAAAATTGAAAATACTATTATGGCATGATCTGGCATTTTCACTTCTGAGTATATACCCAAAAGAATGGAAAGCAGGGACCTGAGGGGATATCTGTATTCTCCTGTTCATAGCAGCATTATTTTCAGTATCCAAAAGGTGGAAGCAACCCAACATCCATCAACAGATGGATGGATAAACACAATGAGGTATAGACATACAACAGAATATTATTCAGCTTAAAAAGGAAGGAAATTCTGACACACGATACAGTATGGATGAGCCATGAGGACATTATGCTAAGTAAAATAAACTCAACCACCAAAGGACAATACTGTAGGATTTCATTATATGAGGTATCAAACGTAAGCAAATTCATAGACAGAAATAGAATGGTGGTTGCCAGGTGCTAGAGGGAGGGAAGAATGAAGAGTTAGTGTTTAATGAGGACAGAGTTTCAGTTTTGCGAGATGAAAAAGTTCTGGAGGTTGGTTGCACAACAGTGCATATGTGCTTAACACCACTGAGCTGTGCACTTGAAAACTGCTAAGTTGGTAAATTTTATGTATATAAATGCATGTTTTACCATAATTAAAAATATATTAATAAAATAAATTCTAGCCCAGGCATGGTGGCTCATGCCTGTAATTCCAGCACTTTGGGAGGCCAAGGCGGGAGGATCACTTGAGGCCAAGAGCCTAAGCAACCCCATCTCTACCCAAAAATAACATAATAATTATTTCTAAATAAATAAACAAATTCTACTGTTGAGCTGCGAAGGTAAAACTAGAAGGCAGGTGTTGTGTCCTGTTCATCATTGTACCCACCCCATAGCCTAGAGTCTGACAAATGATACACAATCAACGAAGCCTGGTGCAGTCAACAGAATGCTCCCAGAAGCTTTTTCAAAAAGGAGAAATCTAAGAATGTCACTGCTCTACTCAAAAATCTCAATTCTCTAATCCTAAAATCCTGTTCTCTAAAGAATAAGAGTGCAGCTGGCCGGGTGCAGTGGCTCACATATGTAATCCCAGCACTTTGGGAGGCCGAGGTGGGTGGATCACCTGAGGTTGGGAGTTCGAGACCAGCCTGACCAACATGGAGAAACCCCATCTCTACTAAAAAATACAAAAGTAGCGGGTGTGGTGGTGCATGCCTGTAATCCTGCTACACCGGAGGCTGAGGCAGGAGAATCACTTGAACCCGGGAGGTGGAGGTTGCAGTGAGCCGAGATTGCATGATTGCATTCCAGCCAGGGCAACAAGAGTGAAACTCTGTCTCAAAATATATATATATTAATAAGAAATAATAAGAAATAAGAGTGCAGAGTGTGCAGGTCATACAGGTATACAGGAATTCTCTGAACTGTCTTTGCAACTTTTCCATAAATCTAAAGCTTTTCTAAAATGGAAAGTTTATTTATTTATTTATTTGAGACAGGGTCTTGTTCTGTCGCCCAGGCTGGAGTGCAGTGGCACGATCTTGGCTCACTGCAACCTCCACCTCCCAGGTTCAAGTGATTCTTGTGCCTCAACCTCAATCCCAAGTACCTGGGATTACAGGTGTGCTGGTCAGGCTGGTCTTAAACTCCTGGCCTCAAGTGCTCCGCCTGTCTCAGCCTCCCAAAGTGCTGGGATTACAGGCATGAGTCACTGAGCCTGGCTGAAAGTATATTAGAAAAAAAAAAATAGATGGGTAAGGGCTCTATAGTAGTAGCTGAGGAAGGGCCTGTGCTAGGTGTACTGAGGAAAGGAAGCAATCTTTGATATTATAATGAGCATGGCTGCCCAAAATATAAAGACAAACTAATAAAAAATTTGCATATAAAAAAGACTGGAAAGGAATGTACAAAATACATTAAAAAGACACTTGGTGACAAATGAAGAAATTAGTGAGAAAAAGGCAATGATCATGAGTGCTTGATCAAGTCAGAGTTCCTCATCTCCCTCCTGGGCTAGCATTGACTGCCATTTACACATTTGCTCCTACCAACAGGAGGAAACTGGATCATGTATGACATGCATTAAGGCACTGAGCAGAGAGGAGGGCATGAGCCATAACATTGGGCTATAACGTTACAGCCCCAGCCTGAGAAGCCTCCTCTGAAAAGTAATGCAATCGCCTGGCACTTTTCCACCGCTCAAAGCCTTATAGAAACAACTCTAACTCACATTTTTAATCCTGAAAACACCCCAATGAAATCGGAAACTTTGTAAGAGTGGAGATTCAATCCCAGTGCTTTGAAATGTTTTGACAAATACGTGGTTGGTTTTAATTACAAAAAACATAGCAAGATCAGGTGAGGCAGCGTGGCTGAGTGGCAAGAGTACAGGCCTGAAAGTACGGAGACCTGGACACTCACAGAATACATGAGTCACTTCCTGCTCCCAGCCTCAGGATTCCCATACAGAAAATGCAGATGGTCTACAGCAGTGGTTCTCAAACTGGAAACTGCATCAGAATCACCTGCAGGGCTTGTTAAAACACAAATTCCTGGGCTCCACCTCCAGAGTTTCTGATTTAGTAGGTCTGGGTGGTGCCCCAAAATTTTCATCTCTAACAAGTTTTCAAGTGGGGCTGCCACTGTTGATCTAGGCTCCGCTTTGAAAACTACTGGTCTAGACCATCTCTGTGGTTGACATGCCAAGCGTTCAATAATATACTCTTTAAGTCCTCCCTTTCTTCCTGTGTTCATCCATTCATCCATGGATTCATTCAGCCAGTTGTTTATACAACAAACACCTTAGGGACTCCTACGATGCATGAGACATTGTGCCAAGGGCTCAAAGACAGACATAGGAGATTGCTGTAGAAACAAAAATATGCGAGTATAATATTGCATAAATTGGGGTGTGCACAAAATATCAGAGAGATGAGCTGGCAACAGACTTCCTCTGTGCAGCCTGGGAAACCAGAAGACAGTGGAGGAATGTGCCACAAGGAAAGGACTGCACCTCAAAAACCTTATTCTCAGCTAAGATGTCGCCCATGTGTCAGGGCAAAAGGCAGAATGATGTTTGAAGTATACAAAATGTAATTTTTTCAACAGCTATTTATTGAGCAGCAACCATGGGCCAGGCATTGTCCCAGGCACTGAAGATATAAAGGTCAATAAAATAGAGTATCTGCCCTTGAGGAGTTTCACATCTAGTGGGGAAGGCAAAAAATTAACCGGTAAATAGTAAACACATAAAGAATGTCAGGAAGTGCTAAGTGCATGAAGAAAAGTAAAGCAGAAAAGGGGACTGAGGTTGAAGGTACATGGGCAGGAAAGGAGGTGATTGTTGAACAGAGAACAGAGAAAACTGTCATCCACATAACTTGTCTGACAAAGGACTTTAACCAAGGAGCTTGTGAACTGGAAGAGAGTCCCCAAAAGAGGGGAAGATGAGGAGGAGAGCAAATTATAGTGACCAATCAACTCTGTGGAAGGCTAGAGGAGGGTGGAGGTATAATGGATGGAGAGACAGATGGAGATAGATAATTAGATTAATAGGAGAGAAAAGAAGAACTTAAATTCAAATGGATAAACTGCCTGAGATGTGTAACTTACATGCCCTATAAAGACTTGTCATACAGAATAGACATTTTGAGGCTAAATTCTATTAACTATCTCTACAAAACCCATAAGTTCGGCCAAGCACAGTGGCTCACACCTGTAATCCCAGCGCTTTGGGAGGCCGAGGCAGATGGATCACCTTTGGTCAGGAGTTCGAGATGAGCCTGGCCAACATGCTGAAACCCCGTCTTTACTAAAAATACAAAAATTAGTCTGGCGTGGTGGCAAGCATCTGTAGTCCCTGCTACTTGGGAGGCTGGGGCAGGAGAATGGTGTGAACCCAAGAGGCAGAGGTTGCAGTCAACCGAGATTGTGCCATTGCACTCCAGCATGGGTGACAGAGCGAGACTCCATCTGAAACAAAACAAAACAAAACAAAACAAAACAACAACAACAACAACAACAAAAAACCTAAGTTGGAAAAGGACTGGATAGGGAACAAAGAAAAACCTTTGAAAGCCCTCAAGGTAAATAAATGGAAAAGGAGAGGGAAGAAGGGAAAGGAATAGGGAGGCAAACGTATCCTAAAGATCTCATCCCATTAGGTAGAGAGGAAGTGGGAGCAGTGAACATCTTGGAGTGGGACACAGTGTGGCTTGCTGAGGGAAATGTTCAATATTTTGTTTTCAAATAAGAAAGAAGTAATAGGCAGCTGGGCGCGGTGTCTCACACCTGTAATCCCAGCACTTTGGGAGGCCAAGATGGGCGGAACACTTAAGGTCAGGAGTTCAAGACCAGCCAGGCCAAGATGGTGAAACCCTGTCTCTACCACAAACACAAGAAATTAGCCCAGTGTGGTGATGGGCACCTGTAGTCCCAGCTACTTTGGAGGCTGAGGCAGGAGAATCGCTTGAACCTGGGAGGCGGAGGTTGCAGTGAGCCGAGATCATGCCACTGCACTCCAGCCTGGGCAACAAAGTGAGACTCCGGCTCAAAAAAAAAGAATGAAGTAATATGCATCAGATTATGAGAGTGAGGGAAGAAAAAAATGGCCATGAATGGAATAAAAAATCAGAATAAATTTTCAAATGCTCAAAAAAGGCAAATGTGGAAGAGGAAAAGGAAGAAATAGGAATGTAAAATATATCATCATAAACATCGAAAAGAAAAATGGAAACAAAAAAGTCAACCACATAAATTATTTCTATAAATTAGAATGATCTAAATCCTCCCACTAAGGAGTAAGCAAGAATAGGAAAATTGAATTAAAAACAAAACCTAGTTACATGATCTTTACACAAATTGCATCTTTAACAAAGTAATAAAGGTTTAAAATAAAGTAGTGGACAAAGAGGAATCAGGCAATGCAAACAAAAAGAAAGTTGGAATGGCAATATTAATATCAGACCATACGGGATTTAAAGTTAATGTATTAAGTAGGATAAAGAATCCTTCCTCTTTTATCACTACATATAATAAAAGACAGACTGTCCGGTGTGGTGGCTCACGCCTGTAATCCCAGCACTTTGGGAGGCCGAGGTGGGCGAATCACAAGGTCAGGAGATCGAGACCATCCTGGCTAACACGATGAAACCCCGTCTCTACTAAAAATACAAAAAAATAGCCGGGCGTGGTGGGGGGTACCTGTATTCCCAGCTACTTGGTAGGCTGAAGCAGGAGAATGGCATGAATCCAGGAGGCAGAGCTTGCAGTGAGCCAAGATCGCGCCACTGCACTCCAGCCTGGGCAACAGAGCGAGACTCTGTCTCAAAAAAAAAAAAACAAAAAACAAAAAACACAAAGACTGTATGAGGAAGCTATAACAGCCACACATGTGCCCAAATAAAACAGATTTTGATTTATATAAACACATATATATGTATAAATATATATATACAAGTATATATATACACATATACATAGATAAGTATATATACACATATACATATATATTTATGCATGTATAAATATATATACATATATAATTTCGCAATTACTTAACTTACCTTTGCCTCAGTTTCCCCATCTCTAAGATGTAATGACAGTAATAACACCTATCTCATAGGGGTGCTGAGGAGATTAAGTGAGTCATTACATGGAAGTCACCTAGAACAGTGTTCCTTACCTAGAAAGTTCTATAAGCGGGATGTTATTATCATCACTCAATCGCCAAGAAAATGTTGATGCATTAGAACCAATTAGAAAGTTTACCAGCTACAATACTTGAGAATAATCCAAAGACTACATAGGGTACCCATCTAGTGATGGCAGAGGGAACCCCCTCCTCTTTGTTAGGCACCCAAATCCCTCCTAGGAGTCTAGAATCTTGAACCCCCCCTCTTAGAGGCGGAAAGTCCCACAGAGTTAGTCTGCATTCTATCCCATGCAAGAATGCTTTCCAATGCATCATGACCGGCAGCCATCTGATCTCTACTTGGACAAGCCCAGGGCTGGGAGGCTCAACATCTCTCAAAGCGCACCCTTCCATCACCAGCTGGTACTTACTTTATTTGTGTTTTATTTTTATTTTATTTTAATTTATTTTATTTTATTTCATTGAGATGGAGTCTCACTCTGTTGTTCAGGCTGGAGTGCAGTGGCATGATCTTGGCTCACTGCAAACTCTGCCTCCTGGTTTCAAGCAATTCTCCTGCCTCAGCCTCCCGAGTAGCTGGGATTACAGGCACTCCACATAGCGAGACCCCTGTCTCTACAAAAATCAATTTTTAAAAAATGAGCCAGGCGTGGTAGCACACACCTGTAGTCCCAGCTATTTGGGAGGCTGAGGCGGGAGGAGCACTTGAGCCCCAGAGTTCGAGGCTGTAGTGAGCTATTATCACACCACTTCATTCCAGCCTGGGAGACATAGGGAGACCCTGTCCTTATTAAAAGATAAAAATAAAATAAAGAAAGAAAGAAGACTGTGCAGGTGTTGCCCCCTCCCTGAACCTTGCAGCCTTCCTACAGACTTGGGCTCCTCCCAGGCCCCTGGTGGTAGCCCTGCTCAAGGGTGCTGTGCTGCTTACTCTGTCCCCACCCCCAAGCTCCTAGAAGTTGAGGGCTAAGTCTCACAGGTCACGCTCCCCAACTTTCCAGTGAGGGCTCATTAGCTGTTTGTTTATTGCTGTTTCTCTACCTGAACATCAGCTCCACCTGAGCAGAGCCTTTCATAGCTGAAACCCCAGCACCTAGAACAGAGACCAGCAAATGATTCATAATTTGCTGTGTCCCACCATGCCCAGCTTTTTGTATTTTTAGTGGAGACGGGGTTTCACCATGTTGGCCAGGCTGGTCTCAAACTCCTGACCTCAGGTGATCTGCCCACCTCAGCCTCCCAAAGTGCTGGGATTACAGGCGTGAGCCACCACGCATGGCCTGGTGCTTACTTTAGAATGTTTTTCTTTATATTGAAGTGCAGTTGACTTCCCAGAACTATCATCTTCTTCCCTGGAGCTTCTATCATCATTCACTTATTCATCCACCCATCTAGTCATCCATCCATCCACCCAATCATTCAATCATTCAATTATTCAGTAGCTACGAATTGGCATTTACTACATGTTAGGCACTGTGCCAGGAGCTCGGGATACAATGGTAAGCACATTCAGACAGGGTCTCTGCCTTTAGGGGCTCAGTCTGGCTACCCCAACAGTCACTGAATAATACAATATCCTGCTTGATTAGTGCTAGAAAGAAAATGAAGAGTGCTATGAGACCATACAACATGGGGGCTGCCCCTGGTCTGAAACTATCGGGAGAGGCTTCCCAGAGGAAATGACTCTTACTTGCTGAAAGACAGAGGATGGCCTGGAGCTGACAGGTGCAAGGCAGCAGCACTTTCTACCCTGTGACCTCCGCATCCTTCTCTCTTCTGGACTGAACCTCCTTTTGCTCCTCCTGCCGCCACTCTTTCCAAGGGCCTGTGAAATGCTCAAGGAGGATGAGACCCTCCACACACAGTCTGATTTCCTTTCCAATGAAAGCCAAGCCTGCATCTGATTTTTTGGCAGCCACATTCGCTTGTTTGTGTTGAAATCGTGACACTATGTCTATATTTTCCATTGGACCAGAAATATCATCTAAGAAAAGAAATAAGTAAGAAAACGCATGCAGTTAAGCAAGACCCTCATAGTGGCCCCAGAATGGATCTTGAGGATCACTGGTCTTTTTCCTGAGGGACTTGCCCTCTGCCTATTGATCTAAGATTGTCACCAACACCAGGGCAGAGCTGAGTTCCCGGGTCAAACCTGTCTTTCCAGCTAGAATTCCAGAGGAAACCCCAGTCCCTGTTGGGGCTGAAGGTGCTTCCTTTTGGCATCGGGGCCTCTCGACACTAATAATTAGCTTCTTGCTTCTTTGAGGAACCCACAGGAATGGCCAGGGCTTTGCAAACTGCTTCTCTCAACATCCCCCAGCTCCTCCCAGAGAGTCGACTGGGATTCTTATCTTACTGATGAGGAAAGCAGAACTCAGAAAGGTGAAGGTGACAGAGCTGAGACCTCAAGCCAAGCCCTCCAGAGCCAACACCATTTCCATGATACACACACCTCACTTGAATTACATTATTATGGGGCAACTCACTGAATGTCTAAACAGCTACCACCTACTGAACACCTATCACGTGCTCTCTCTACCTTGCCCATTTATTCCCTCTCTACTTAGTGTCCCAAAGACACCTCAAATGTAGCATGTCCATAAGAGAACTGTAACATGTCATTGGTTTTGTGTCCCCACCCTGCTCTTCCCTTTGGCTTCCCAATCTTGGGAAATGGTGCAACCATTCACCCATAGACTCAGGCGCCAATGCTCGGAGTCAACCTGAAAGGAGGCAGAGAGAGAGGAAGAACAAAAAAACACAGATGGATGGATGGACAGATGGATGGATGGATGGATGGATGGATGGATGGATGGATGATGAATAAGTGTGGATGGGTGGATGGATGCATGGTGGATAAATAAGTGAATGATGATAGAAGCTCCAGGGAAGAGGATGATGGTTCTGGGAAGTTAACTGCACTTCAATATAAAGAAGAGCATTCCTTGGATAAGGATAGACTGAGTAGAAAAAAGAAGAAAGAGGAAGAAGAAGAAGAAGAGGGAGGAGGAGGGGGAAGGGGAGGGTAGGAAGGGGGAAGGGAGGGGGAGGGAGAGGGGGAGAAGGAGAGGAGAAGGAGAAGGAGGAACATTCTAAATGCACCAGGCTGGGCGTGGTGTCTCATGCCTGTAATCCCAGCACTTTGGGAGGCAAAGGCAGGCGGATAACCTGAGCTCAGGAGTTTGAGACCAACTGGGCCAACATGGTGAAACACTGTCTCTACTAAAAAATACAAAAATTAGCCGGGTGTGGTGACATGTGCACCTGTAGTCCCAGCTAATCAGGAGGCTGAGGCAGGAGAATCACTTGAACCCAGGAAATGGAGGTTGCAGTGACCCATGATCTAGCCACTGCACTCCAGCCTTGGCAACAGAGTGAGATTCCATCTCAAAAACAAAAACAAAAACAGCAGGGGAGAGAGGAAGAGAGGAAGGAAGAGAAAGAGAGGAGAGAGGGAAGAGGGATAGTGGAGGGAAGGCTAGAGGAAGGAAGAGAGGAAGGAAGGATGAAGGAGGAGAAGAGAGAAAGAAAATGAGGAAAAAATAAGGAAAGGGAGGCTGGGCATGGTGACTCACACTGGTAATCCCATCACTTTGGGAGGCTGAGGCAGGCAGATCACGAGGTCAGGAGTTCGAGACCAGCCTGGCCAACATGATGAAACCCCGTCTCTACTAAAAATACAAAAAATAGCTGGGCATGGTTGCCAGCGCCTATAATCCCAGCTACTTGGGAGGCTGAGTCAGGAGAATCGTTTGAACCCGGGAGGCGGAGGTTGCAGTGAGCCGAGATCGCACCATTGCACTCCAGCCTGGGTGACAGGGCAAGACTCCATCTCAAAAAAAAGAAAAAAAGGAAGAAAAGGGAGAGAAAAGGGAAGGGGAGGGAATAGGGAGGGAGGGAAGAGGAAGAAAGGAAAGGAGAAAGAGGGAAGGAAGAAGGGAGAAAAAAGGATGGAGGAGAAAAAGAAGTGAGGAACAAAAAAGGGGGCTTTGACTGTAGGAAAACACAGGTAAAGGCTCATGTGTATAATACTTTTTAGCCTGTGTAAGTCAATATCCTAAAATAACACTTAGTGCCTTGTTTTAAATAGCACCAGATTCACTGTCATTCACAGAGTCACAAAACCATTAACTTCCCTAAAACAACCAATTTCAGAACAGGAATTTGGGCCACCCTGCAATGGTGTCAAATTTCCCCAAAAGCAAGATGAACTAGATCCAGTCCCTGAGCCTAAGAAGTCTAAAATCTCTTCTGGATGATAAGGCTAATATTCAACAGTCATAATACAAGGCAGAAACAGACAAGGACCAAAAGAGCTTTACAGAAGGAGGGCCATGGTGGCCCATGGAAGTGAGGAGTAATTCCTGCCAGGCATTTGTGAAGAAGGTGGCATCTGGCCAGGACCTTTGAAAGAAGTGCAGAAAGGAGGCCTAGTGTGTGCTGGGCAGCCACCTCATCAATCACTGGATCCTATCCAGTGTGAGATCCCCATTCTACAGATGCCGACACCAGGGTTCAGGGTAAGGAAGGCAATCAAGTAACTTGCCCGAGGTCATGCATGCAAGGAACACGGAAGCCCCACTCTAATGGAGATTTAAATTCAGGTCTAATATGAGAATGCAAGTGGCAATGTGTGATGTGTCTGGACCACGTGGTGTGAAATGCAGTCGGCTTCTCCTGGGAAGGTGACTCAGACAGAAGCTTTCTTCACAAGCATGCTCCCCACGGCCTCCTCCCTTTCACCTGCACCATGTCTGTCTCCCATTCAAGACTGGCAACCCCAGCCAGGCACAGTGGCTCATGCCTGTGATCCTATCATTTTGGGAGGCCAAGGCAGGAGGATCCCTTGAGGCCAGGAGTTTGAGAACAGGAGACAACACAACGAGGCTCTATCTGTACAAAATATAACAAAACTTAGCCAGGCAAGGCCATGTGTACCTATAGTTCCAGCTATTCAGGAGGCTGAAGTGGGAGGATTGCTTGAGCCCAGGAGGAAGAGGCTGTAGTGAGCTGTGACTGTGCCACTGCACTCCAGCCTGGGAGATAGAGCAACATTGTCTCAAAAAAAAAAAAAAAAAAAAAAAAAAAAAAAAAAAAAAAAAAGATGTGGCAGCCCCTTGAGAAAGGAAGAGCTCCTATCTTGACGATTTCAGCCAATGCCCGTGAGTACCAGCAGGAGCCTCTATCCCTCTCTGCCCCACCCTGTATCCACGCATTCATTACATCATTCATCCCCCCTCATTTTCTCAAAACCCACTTGTGCCCAGGCCCTGAGGTGGCTCTAGGACCGAGAGACAGGGATCACAGAGCTCCCCAGTGGAGTGGAGGGTACAGACATGTGGACAAGAACACTGGAACCCAGTGCGGGCTGGGAGCGTGCGGTCAGACCTGCAAAGCGGGGAAGAGAAGGGGGTCGGAGAAGCTTCGCGGGGAGAATGGGGTGAGGCCTGAGGCCTGTCTCGGAAAGCAGAGGGGCAGGTGGGAGAGTGGAAAAGACATTCCTGGAGGAGGGAACCAAAGGTGCTGAATGTGCAGAGGCAGAGATCCTGCGACGGGAGAGAAAGTCCTCGAGAATGACCCCAGCATAGGATGAGAACAAAGGAGGGGATCAAAGGAAACGGGCCCTCGGGGGCCGGGTGCTAGAAGGCTCTGAGTGTCAGGAGAGGGAACGTGACCTCCATCATGGGGTCAGTAGGGCCACTGTATGGCTTTAAGCCAGGGAAGGACAGGAGAGGTTTCTGTAACTGTGGCTGTAATGATGGAAGCGTCTGGAGGCGGAGAGGAGGCTCCCGCGGCGACCCAGGCTTCAGAGAGAGAGAGAGAGAGAGGAAAGAAGGAAGGGCAGATAGGAAAGCTAGGAAAGATGCACAGAGAGACCAAGGCAGAAAAGGCTGAAGGGAAGACGGCAGTGGTAGGAAGGGGGCAGAGCCGTCTCAGGATGCAGCCAGCAGGCAAGGAGGCAGAGACCCGCTTGCCCGGTGCCTGGACTCACCAGCCGGTGCAGCCAGCCGGCGCCGGCGTGCGTGTCCTTGAGGCGGAAGAGGCGGCGGTGCGCGGAGCTGCGGCCCACGTACCACAGCATCTGCAGCAGCATGAGCGCCGTCAGGAAGCACAGCAGGTCGCTCTTGCTCACGCCCGCGGCGTGCACGGCCCAGGCCAGCAGCAGCAGCAGCCCCGCCACGAACACGATCAGCCCATACTGGCTGCTCGGCATCTCGGCCAGCTTCTGTGGGACGCTGGCGCGCACACCGCCCCTCCGGGGGGCCGGGGACTCCGGGGACCTCGGGGCCGACGGCGAGGGAGGCGGGCAGGCCGCGGGCCCCGATGACCCCGCGACTGAGGCGCTCGCAGCTGCCCGGGGCCAGGCGGGCGACCCCAGGCCCTCAAGCATCTTCAAGACACCCGCGCCAAGTCTGGCCCCGGGGGTGGCTGCCGTCGGGCCCCGCCTGCGCTCCTGGCTCCTGTCCTTGCCCCGACGCCTCTGCCAACCAGCACCCCCCTTTTCAACTCCCCTCCGATTCCTACCCCACGCCCCCGACAACCTGCCCCGTCTCCTGTCACTTCCCGACGCCCGCCCTCCCCTCTTCTGCCCCTTCGTCCTCAGTCAAGGTACCACCCTGTCCACTTACCCAGCGCCCCACCCCGCTGACCCGGGATTCTAAGAGCTCCCTTGCCCACTGCCCCTCACTGGGCAACGCCCGGGGCAGCCATCTGTCCCCTCCGGGACCCACGCGGACCGCTCCCCCCTCCTGATCCCTGGGACACTGGCCAGCCCTGCCCCGACACTAGCGCGTCCTCCCGCACCTCCGCCCGCGCGCCCGGCCCCCGCCCACCGTCTGCAGCCCTCACCCCTGCGCCGACGCCCACCCACCCAGCCCCTGTCCGGGCGCCCCAGAAACGCTGGGTGACGAGAGATGCCTCCCAGAGTCCCGGGGTTGCGGGGCTGGGGAGAGGGGGTCTTCCAGAGCCAGCCCGAAGTGGGGTGTGCACGGGGGGCGTGGCTGCTGCCAAGTGGGGCGCACGGGGCTCCACAGGGGCGTGCGATGCTCCGGGCCTTCCCCGAGGGTCTCCGTTGGGGAACCCAGAGGTCCAGGTGATCCTGCCTGGGTCCGTGTCCGAGCGTCCGATGGTCTGTCCTTGTCCCTGCGTATTTCTGTATTGTCTTCTCTGTGCGGGTCACTCTGTGTCTGGCCGTCTGTTTTCGGGTGTGTCTGGTTAGGGGTGGAGGAGTGCCAGTCACTGGCTCTCTGAATTGGGGGAGGGGCCGCCTTCTGTGGGTTTTTCTGTTTGTCCATCTGGTGTGCCTGTGTGTCGGCTGCGAGATGCCCAGGCGCAGAATAAGACCTGAGCCACTTTCTAAGAAAAGAGACCATCCCGCACCCTCCCCCAAAGGAGCGGCAGCCATTCTGGACGCAGAGGAGCTGGAATGAGGGAGGCCCCAGGGTCTGCCCTGGGGCTACCGGCACCCAAGCATCTCCACCAGCCCCTTCCAAAGCCCCGGTGCCTGCCTTGCACCTGCCTGCTCCCGGAAGGAGACTGTGTCTGCCAGGGTGCCCTGCTTGGGTGCCATTAAGTGGAGGTCTGGGAAGTTTCTGCAGAAGAGCGTTCTACCGGTCGGGCGTGGCTGACAGGAGGCGGTGGACCCCAGCCCCCCAGCTGCAGGTTGGAGAGGGGAGTTGGGAGCGAGCCCCCATCCCACCATGCAGCAGCCCGGGGCTGGGCCCCGGAAGACACCCTCTCCCTCTTGGTTTAAGGCTCTTGCAGTCTTGAAATTCTTAATTTTTGAACAAGAAGGCCCAGGTTTTTGTTTTGTGCTAAGCGCAGCAAATTGCAATAGCAGGTCCTGACTAGTAAAGGAGGGGTGGGGAGTCCTGGGCCGGCAAGAAGTCAACCTGAGGGACCTTGCCTTGCCGCCATCATTCTTCCAATTCATGCATTCATTCATTTGATCAACACACATGTATGTGTTGACATGTGAATCATTTGCTGGTCTCTGTTGTAGGCGCTGGGGTTTCAGCTATGAAAGGCTCTGTTCAGGTGGAGCTGATGTTCAGGCAGAGAAACAGCAATAAACAAACAGCTAATGAGCCTTGACTGGGAAGCTGGGGAGCGTGACCTGTGAGACTTAGCCCTCAACTTCTAAGACCTTGGGGGTGGGGACAGAGTAAGCAGCACAGCACACTTGAGCAGGGCTACCACCAGGGGCCTGGGAGGAGCCCAGGTCTGCAGGAAGGCTGCGAGGTTCAGGGAGGAGGCAACACCTGCACAGTCTTCTTTCTTTCTTTATTTTATTTTTATCTTTTAATAAGGACAGGGCCTCCCTATGTCTCCCAGGCTGGAATGAAGTGGTGTGATAATAGCTCACTACAGCCTCGAACTCTGGGGCTCAAGTGCTCCTCCCACCTCAGCCTCCCGAATAGCTGGGACTACAGGTGTGTGCTACCACGCCTGGCTCATTTTTTTAAAATTGTTTTTTGTAGAGACAGGGGTCTCGCTGTGTTGCTCAGGTTGATCTCAAACTCCTGGGCTCAAGCCTTCCTCCTACCTCAGCCTCCCAAAGCACTGGGATTACAGGCTCCAGCTACCACGTCCAGCCTCCTGCACATTCTTTAGGCTTAGGAGTGGATGGCCAGGCGGAAGGGAGCAGGGGTCTGGAAAGGCAGTCCAGAGAGAGGATCCAGCAAACCTACTGGGAATCTTCCACCTTCTCCCCTCCTCTTCCTACCAACAGCCAGAGCAACCTGGGAGGCTGAGCTGAAGATGGAAGAGCCTGTCTGCGTGTCTCCCCAGTGACTAGTGAGGCGGCTTTTCCTCCCGAAGCTGGACCTTACATCAGTGAGAAATAAACTTCCATTGTGCTAAGCCACCAAAGTCTGAAATGTTACAGCAGCTAGCAGTACCTTAACCCATTGAGTACAAAGATAAATAACACTCAGTCACTATCTGAAAATCAAGTGGAATGCCTATCTCTGGGCTACCTGCACTTTTGTTTGTTTGTTTGTTTGTTTGTTTGTTTGTTTTTGAGATGGAGTCTCACTCTGTTACCCAGGCTGGAGTGCAGTGGCACAATCATCTCAGCTCACTGTAACCTCTGCCTCCTGAGTTCAAGCGATTCTCCTGCCTCAGCCTCCCGAGTAGCTGGGATTACAGGCGCCTGCCACCATGCCCGGCTAATTTCTGTATTTTTAGTAGAGATGCGGTTTCACCATGCTGGTTAGGCTGGTCTCAACTCCTGACCTGGTGATCCACCCCTTGGCCTCCCAAAGTGCTGGGATTACAGGCATGAGCCACCACACCTGGCCTGCATTTTTTTAAGAAGCAATGAAATGAAAGTTTCTGGAGGCTAAAGTCAGCCCCCTTTATTGTAATCTCAAGACAATGTTAAAACTCACTGAGAGCCTGTAATCCCAGCACTTTGGGAGGTCGAGGTAGATCACTTGAGGTCAGGAGTTCGAGACTAGCCTG